>NC_000012.12:43217703-43369218 GCF_000001405.40 Homo sapiens
TGAAAACTGTCCACCACTAATAATTTAATAGCTAATTATAATCATCTCCTTATTGTGCATGGACCCACTAGACATCCCGTATTAAAGAGCAGATTCCTAACAAATTGACTTCATCCTGAAGGCTATGGGTCGTCAAAACTTATTTTAGGTCTGAGGCATCATTCTTAAGAGAGAGATCATTCAGAGATTTGCCATTTAAGAAAAAAATAGAATTGGGAAGTCATGTTAACATGTGAAAGGAAGCCACACAACTGTCTCCTTTGTCATTCTTTCCACTTGCCAAAAATATATGTGTATATATCCATGAATGTCATAAGTCGAATGGTCTACATGACACTAGGCATGAAATGAACAGTAAATCTAAGATATCGTAACCACTGTGGTCATGTAACAGTGTCTAAAAGGAAGTATAATGCTATCCACACGTTTACCCAGTCATTGGTCAGTGTCAACACAATTGGAAGTTATTCTTTCCAAACAAAATGAATTGAATATTGTTGTAGCAGCTTGCAAAGCACACAACCATGGCTGACAGAGAGACAGAAACAATGAAGGTCGCAGGACACAGAAGTTAGCAAGAAAGGCCATTCCTGTTGCACGAGTGACTTGCAGCAGTCATTTTGCAGTATGAACAACCTTAGCAGTGGCATTGATAAAGCCTGAAAAATCTTGCAATAATAAGAAATAAGGACCTTGATACAAAGCAGTGACTCTCCTGTTATACAACAGGGTAGGAAACAAATAAACAGATATGTGATTGGGAAAATAGAAGACAAAAAAATTGCACTGGACCAGCAAAGAGACTACAACTTTATATCATGAAGCTACTATGTAAGTATTTATAGTTTTTTTTTTCATTTATTCTTCTAATGAGACCATGGACTCTAACATAGAATGGCTTTGATTTAAATCATCCCTTCACCACTTCTAGATCTATGACCTTGTGCAAGTTACCTAACTTCTCTGAGCCTCAGTTTCGTCATCTTTAAAATGGAGATAATACACAATAGCCATAAAATCCAGAAGCAGATGCTACTATGCTATCATAGTTTATTTTTTTACATTTTGAACCCCTGATTTACTTCTCCTGGGGTTTCCTAAAAGCACATATTTAGTGGAAAAGCAGAAATGTATATCATCTGAGGCAACACATCACAGAAGCATGTGCAGAGATTGATAGCAATGCTGAATTAATGCAGCATGTTCATTGCAATTTTGCACAGCACATTGGACATATCATACACTGTAATGCAAGATCTAGAAACCATTTATAATATAGTGTCCATTGTCTGTGTGTCCCAACTTTAAGGCCACCCTCTCTATATCATAGTCTCAGGTATCAAAAGTTCTTAGACACCTATGCCATTGTAAGCACCATGTAAATGCTGGATATTATTATTGTTATTTACATAGCAAGGTGGACATAGATTTACCTTTTATTATGGTTTTAATAATTGTTATGTAATCTTTTTCATTTCTACATAAAGTCTTATATTAAAAGACTCCTGCAAAACTTCTTACATGGGGATGCTTGGATTGTTGTAGCTACCTGGAATTTGCAGTCATCATTCTAGGACCTGGAAGGGAAAGGTCTTATGAGTGGTCTAGCTTATAGAATGAAACCCTGATCAAGCATATTTTTCTCCATATATACAACATGTGGCCATCATATAAAACACTATTTTCCATTAAGATTATAACAAATTCAAAGCTCTGTTCCTTTCAGCAATACTCTTTCCAAGAAACCTTTAGTTGTTTATTCAAGGGAAGCACTTCTTAAACCCCAAACCAGAGGATCAGAGCTATTACCCATCATTTGTGGACTCTGTATATTAATGGTACATAGTGTTATTAAAGAACCTGGTTATGTGCAGCTTAACACATGAGTCTAGGATTGCTCTAAGTCACATTTTCAGCAGGTTCCTGAAGCAATAAAATGGGTAAAGAATGACCAGACCTCTAACGAGTGTCCTTTATAACTGCAAAAACGATTCTCCCAGAATCACTGAAGGTGAAGAGGGCTGACTGGAAGGCAGCATGGACAAAAGTGTGGTTGAATGGCAGGGCAATCTGGCATATGTAAAGCTCCACTTTAACTAAATGATCTGTAATCATCAGGGTGGGTAGTTTGTGGTGGGTTGTATAATGACTGGAGAAGAATTTTTTTGCTTACTTTACTCTGTGTCTCCAGAGACCTGTCAGAAAATAGAGAGGAAAATATTAAGGCTAGATAAATCTAAAGACGCTTTCCTTCCAAAGCGTGTTCTGTGGATTATCTCCTTAGCCCTTCTAAGGAAATATCTGTCTATGTTCAAAATGATTTGAAAACCCTGCATTCTAAACATCCTTCCTGAAGATTTACATAGCATATTGATTTAGCAAACGGTCTGGGAAAATGTGTTGTGAGGATTTTGTTTTGTTGTGCATAAATTTTGTTTCATGCCGCAGTTTCCAAACATATTTGACAATGGAACCTTTTTGTTTATTTAACAGAGAGGTTTATTCACTTGTCAATGTGTCATGGAACAGGTTTAGGAAATGCTGCTCTGGAAATGAGCTTCCAGAATTCTCTTTAATCATTTATGGAGCACCAATGTTCACAGTGGGAGGAATTAATTGAACAAAATCTGCTTATCTGCCTACTCTTCAGTTCAGCCATGATTCCAGACTCCTTGACCACCTCAAATCTTCTGTCCTTTCAACTACTACCCATGGTGCCTGGCTCTCCTGGCATTGTGCCTAGGCCCCAATACTTTTTGCTCAATGCTTTTGGGATTAGGAACTTGGCTTCAGACTACTTTTTGAAATATATTCTGACTGATGAGAAATCTGCTGTCAGTCCAGTTGTCAACCCTTTAGAGGCCACCTGTCTTTTGTCTCTGGTAGCTCTCAAAATACTCTTTTTTGTGTTTGATTTCTGCAACTTCAAAGTGATATATCTGAGTATAGATCTTATTCATTCTCTTCTGCTCTCAAGATACTATTTCAGTCTGATAACTTGTGTATGTATGTGTGTTTCCCAATTCTGGAAATTATTAGCCATGATCTCTTGGACAGTTTCTTCTTCACAATTTCCTTTATTCTCTACTTCTGAAACTTTTATTAGAACTATACTAGAGGCTTTCCATCTAAACACCATTTCTCCAACTTTCTGAGTTTTTATCTTGTTACCTGTCTGTGCTTCATTTTGGTTGAATTTTTGGTATTACCTAATTCTTTGTGATTAGGTCTAGAATTATTCTATTTATTGAGCTCTTCAATGCAATGGCTAAATTTTTTATTTGACAGATTACTAACTGGTGTTTCTCATTTTCATTTGACCTAAATTTATAGCTATCTGCTTGTATTTTATAATTTCTTATGGATATTTTCCTTTCTTTTCCTGCCTAAGGGTTAGTGACAGACCTTCAAGTCATTT
This sequence comes from Homo sapiens, assembly GCF_000001405.40. Taxonomy (NCBI): domain Eukaryota; kingdom Metazoa; phylum Chordata; class Mammalia; order Primates; family Hominidae; genus Homo; species Homo sapiens. The sequence continues at coordinate 43,221,122 of NC_000012.12, forward strand.
TAAGATGCTATGTTATTTGCATTTTGTCCAGTCAATGTAACTTTGTTTTATTGATTTTATTGCTTCTCTTTAATGTTAAGGTTTCTCTATGTACATGGAAGATTCACTTTCAGTATTCTCCTGGGTGGAAATTACTTGCCAACCCCTTCCTCCAAAATCTGCCCCTGTGCCCACTGGTGGGCTTTCTCTCCCCAGCGAACCTGGGGACATTGCAGAGGCAGCTGCTGGATCAGCAGGTGCTGCTTGTTTGGCAGCTTCTGACCTCCCCAGCAGCTTTCAAAAGCCACAGCCACAGCCAGCAGTCACAGCTTTCTCCTATCTCTTTTCAAGGGTGGAAAACTCCTAGACCAGCCCCAGGTTTCCTGCCATGAACTTGGATCCGGGACCCCAACCTGCATATGGTGATTTTTGCCCTTGTCGCCCTGTAGGAATTCAACTTCCTAGGGTCCAGCGGCCCATGGCTTTAGCCTCCATCCAGGTTGTTTCTGTTCTGTTTCTGGTTCACAGTGAGTTTAAAGTACAGCTATATCTTTTTGGTTTGGCATTTAATATTTTATTTATCATTTTTATATATTTGGATTGGGATAGTGAGATTTTAATGCATAAGTTTATAGCACCACCACAACCAGAAATCTTTGAAGAATTCTTTAAGCTCAATTTAAGTAAATGAGAACCTATTGTTAAAAATAGTGTTATTTGACAATCCATGTGTTGTAAATAATTTGTATGAACCTGTGGTCATTGCTGCTGTTAGGTTTCCAATGAATGTTAGAAGGTATCTAAGAATAAAAAATTTTCCTTTGGAACAATCCAGGAAAAATCAAAGCGGTGGGGGGCGGTCAATATTTCTTTATTCAGGGTCTGGGTGTGCCATAGACTGCACACATCTACATTACTCTTAATATTAGAATCTATTCTATGTTACCAGATTTAATTTTTAATCAATGTTTTAATGCAAAGTGTTTCTAATATTTTATCTGAATATTTCCCAGCTAATATAAAAATTACCTTCTATAATAACAGTGTAACTCCTCATGAAATAGAATCAATTATGAACAGAAAAATCAAATTGAAATATTGTAATGTGCTTGAATTCCTTGGGTAGCTGTTCTAGTGGTCATTTAATCAGCATGAAATGATGTGAAGAGGTGATCTTCTACCATATGATGGCAGAAGGATAACATGATCTGAAGCCAAGAGCCAAAAGCAGAAGCTTTTGAAATTACTTAGTCTTCTAAGCTTGGAGGTGAGTGGCAGAAGAGTTCATCTATGGATACATAATTAAGGGAGTATGGTTATTCTTAGAGATGAATCCCCAGAGAATACTCTAAGGGTTCTGTAATTCATTAATTGAAAAAGCCTGACAAAGGTGGCTAAAGGAGTTTTTGGCTCCTTGATAATTGCTGGAGCTTTGTCGGCTTATGTGTAACGTATATGTCATTGTTCTCACATAGTGAGCAACTGGTTTCTTGATGCCATCTGGCATTTTTTGGCTAAACACAGATGCAACACCATAAGGTGAAATACCAGTTTTAAGATAATAATAATTTATATTTATCATAATGTACTAGCCAAAAACCAGAAGCCAGTAACTACCTAAAAATATGTCTTAATGTTGTTTTTATTGTGCTTGTGTTGTATTTTCTTTTTGATAGCAGTAGGCAATAAAATAGTTCAGCAACAATTGGATTTTGAGGGGGGAAAAGATGATAGAATTTTAGTGAGCCCTTGTTTTTTGAATTGGCACACTGTTTTGAATAGGGTTAATGCATGGACACAGTACTCTAAAAAACGTGTTTGGAAACTTTTAGTTTACTTTTCGATTAGATCGCCAAGAACAGATTATTGGCATCAGATGTGCAATGATGAGCAACATGTACACAAAAACCATCATGTGTGGTATTGAGTCAAACACACTGAAGCATTTCTGGGAGGTGAACTCTTAGTTGATAGCATGATCAAGCCATTCAAAAAAATATGGCATCATTATTGTAAGCTTAGAGAAACAGAGACTCATTTTCATTTTCCAAAGTCAATTGAAATTCTTTACTTATGGAATTTAGATTATTCCTTTCTTGGGGAAGATAATTAATATATGAAATCATATACTGAAAATCAATTTTAAATATATGTGGCCATATGACATTTATTTTTCTCTTGAAATAATGACAATATATTGATCAGTGGTAGACAGTACAGGAGGTGAAGCTGCCTGGGTGTCTGATTCACTGGGAAGTTGTGTGTTCATGGTCACACCTTTCCAGGCGGCTGTTGTGTTGACAGCAGCGGCACAGCCCTCCAGACATGTGGAAATGCTTAGATGCATATTTTAAAATTAAAAGCTGAAGTTTCTCACAAAGGTTTTATTATAGCAAAAGGTAAATTTATAATTTTGAAGTGATTGGAGCTAGATGAAACAACAGTTGTAATATTTAGTTCCCAAAAGAATAACTTAAAATTTTTATTTCAAAAACTCCTTATATATATTCATTCTCTATATAAATATATTTTTCAATTTATAAATTGATACATAATAACTGTACATGTTTATGGGATACATGTAATATTTTTACACCAGCATACAATGTAAGTAGAATACAAATTAGGGTAAGTAGAATATCCATCACCTCAAACATTTATCATTTCTTGGTGTTGGGAATATTCCACATTTTGTTTTCTATTTTGAAATACACAATAAATTATTTTTAACTATAGTCACTCTACTGTGCTATCAAAACCTAGAACATATTCTTTCTATCTAACTGTATTTTTGTACTTGTTAACCAATCTTTCTTCACCACTGCCCTTCCCAGCCTCTAGTAACCATCATTCTACTCTCTACCTTATTGAGATCAACTGTTTGAGCTCCCACAAATGAGTGAGAACATGTGATATTTGCCTTTCTGTGCCTAACTTATTTCACTTAACATAATGTCCTCCAGTTCCGCCCATGTTGTTGCGAATGACAAGATTTTATTCTGTTTTCTGGCTGAATAGTATTCTATTGTGTATAGATACTGAGAGGTGACAGCGTGCTGGCAGTCCTCACAGCCCTTGCTCACTCTCAGCGCCTCCTCTGCCTGGGCTCCCACTTTGGCGGCACTTGAGGAGCCCTTCAGCCCGCCGGGGCACTGTGGGAGCCCCTTTCTGGGCTGGCCAAGGCCGCAGCCGGCTCCCTCAGCTTGCGGAGAGGTGTGGAGGGAGAGGCGCGGGCGGGAACCTGGGCTGCTCACGGTGCTTGCGGGCCAGCGTGAGTTCCGGGTGGGCGTGGGTTCCGCGAACCCCGTGCTCCAAGCCACCAGCCGGCCCCACCGGCCCCGGGCAGTGAGGGGATTAGCACCTGGGCCAGCAGCTGCTGTGCTCAATTTCTCGCAGGACCTTAGCTGCCTTCCGGCGGGGCAGGTCTCCGGACCTGCAGCCCGCCATGCCTGAGCCTCCCACCCGCTCTGTGGGCTCCTGTGCGGCCCGAGCCTCCCCGATGAGCGCCATCCCCTGCTCCACTGCGCCCAGTCCCATCGACCACCCAAGGGCTGAGGAGTGTGGGCACATGGCGCAGGAGTGGCAGGCAGCTCCACCTGCAGCCCCAGTGTGGCATCCACTGGGTGAAGCCAGCTGGGCTCCTGAGTCTGGTGGGGACGTGGAGAACCTTTATGTCTAGCTCAGGGATTGTAAATACACCAATCGGCACTCTGTATCTAGCTCAAGGTTTGTGAACACACCAATCAGCACCCTGTGTCTAGCTCAGGGTTTGTGAATGCACCAATTGACACTCTGTATCTAGCTACTCTGGTGGGGCCTTGGAGAACTTTTATGTCTAGCTCAGGGATTGTAAATACACCAATCGGAACTCTGTATCTAGCTCAAGATTTGTAAACACACCAGTCAGCACCCTGTATCTAGCTCAGGGTGTGTGAATACACCAATTGACATTCTGTATCTAGCTACTCTGGTGGGAACCTGGAGAACCTTTGTGTCCACACTCTGTGTCTAGCTAATCTAGTGGGGAGGTGGAGAACCTTTGTGTCTAGCTCAGGGATTGTAAACGCACCAATCAGTGCCCTGGCAAAACAGACCACTCCGCTGGCTCTACTAATCAGCAGGATGTGGGTGGGGCCAGATAAGAGAATAAAAGCAGGCTGTCCCAGCCAGCGGTGGCAACCCGCTGGGGTCTGCTTCCACGCTGTGGAAGCTTTGTTCTTTCGCTCTTTGCAATAAATCTTGCTACTGCTCACTCTTCGGGTCCACACGGCTTTTATGAGCTGTAACACTCACTGCGAAGGTCTGCAGCTTCACTCCTGAAACCAGCAAGACCATGAGCCCACCAGAAAGAAGAAACTCCGAACACATCTGAACATCAGAAGGAACAAACTCCAGAGGCACCACCTTAAGAGCTGTAACACTCACTGCGAGGGTCCGCGGCTTCATTCTTGAAGTCAGTGAGACCAAGAACCCACCAATTCCGGACACAATACCACATTTTCTTTATCTGTTCATCTGTTAATAAACTTAGTTTGATTCCAATCTTAGCTATTGTGAATAGTTCTGTAATAAACATGGAAGCGCAGATATGTCCTCAATAATTATCTTGAAGATAACTTATGCAGGTATAAATAAACTCATTTTTCAATATTCCTCTAAAAGACCATGGGACATACGTAATTATTCAAATTTCCTCCCTTTCTTCAGGTTATCAAATTCTCTCACATCAGATTCAGTCTTCTTGTGTGACACCTAAGTTCCATCAAGATTCAAGGAGATTTTATCAACTATGTAGTGACCACATCTTCTCTCCAACTTCACCATCCCCTGACTTCTTTATTTCTAGACCAGCTTTGTCCACTGTGGTAGCCACTAGTCACATATGATATAGAGCATTAGATACAGAGCTGTCTCTAATTGAGATATGCTGTGTGTGAAACACAGCCTAATTGCAAAGATAGTATGAAATATGAATGCAAAATGCCTCATTATTGTTATACATTATTACTTATTGATTGTATGTTAAAATGAAAATATTTTGGATACATTGGATTAAATAAAATATATTATTAAATTTTATCTGTTTCTTCTTACTTTTTAAATGTGACTAGAAAATTTAATATTAGATATGTGGCTCACATTATATTTCTGATGGTGCTGCTATTCTACAGAGTTTCACTTCCATTTTTCTCTATAGGTCACCCTCTGGATCTTGTCATACAGTTTAGGGTAATGGTTTCTCTAGAGAAATGTCAAACTCCTGTGATTTATGTTGTGGCTAAGAACTACTATATGATTAAGAATGTGTGTGTGTGTGAGTGTGTGTGTGTGTGTATAATATCACCTAATTATGCAAATTGAAACCTCTACAAATTCAAAGCACCAACATGGGCTGGACGCTCATTGCTTTCTGACAATCCCGTAACTGATGTTTGATCAGCAACCTTTTTCATTCCTCTCAATAACAACGAACTCTCTTTAGTCTTAAAATTCCTACTCTCTTTGTCCCAGCTCTCAGCAAATAGGCTTGCCTCGTATTTATTTCAAAGATTGAGTTCATAAGGTATAAACTCTCTCAACACCTTTACACCTCACCAGTAAAATTTTCTGCGTCCTCACTCACATCTTTCTCCCTATTTCCAGTCTCAGAGTGAAAAATTTTCCTTCTGTTGAATGTCTTCCTTTCCACCTGAACCCGTGATCCTATGTGCTTTCAATTTTCTCTGCACCCCTACTCATTAATTATCATACTTGTACTTCAGTGCCTTATACAAGCTCTTTTCTGCAAGCCTATAAAAATGGTCAGGTCTTCTTTATCCTAGGCACGATAATGAATCGACACACACACACCAAAAGCCTTCTAGCTTTTGACTGTTCTTTCTCTTCCTAGTCTCAAAAAAAAAAGTTAATGCTTGCTTTCTCCTAATTATCATTTTTTTAATTTACTCCTCAATCCATTTAAATATGATTTCTGTGCCTACCCACAAAAACTATTCATACTAAAATTAGCAATGATCTCCTAATTGACAAATTAGTGGTCAGTTTTCAGATCTATGCTCCTTCCTACCAAAACTAACTGACAGAGTTGATCACTCTCTCCAACAACAATACATTTATTTGTGTTTTTTTCTATCACTCTCAGGAATTTATTTTCCATTCTATCTCATGGGTATCTTTGCCTCTGCTACTGCCATAAATATTGGTGCTCTGCCGATTTTTCTTGTCAGTCTGTACATTTCCTTTTTCCATGTACTCTTATTTTGTGGTCTCATAACAACAAAAATGGCTCAAGAATAAAGGCAGAGTTTCACAGCACTGAGTACATAATTAAGTCACTTTGGATAATTTAAAAAATTTTAATGCCTGGGCCCCAGCACAATAACAATTAAATTAGAATTGCTATATTTTTTAAAGCTTCCCAGATGAATCTATTAAGCAACTGAGTTTAGAACCATTGACTTTTGTTGTAATCTGTATGCTGATGTCAAACAATAGCACAAAGGAATTTAATTATTTTGCAAATCATTTAGTTACATGTAAGATATTTGGTAGACCAGGTCAGGAAACAGAGATGGATACGGGATCTATAAGGTTAAAAAGCACAACTGGAAGAACTTTAAGGTTAGGAGGGAGGAGCCAAAATGGCCGAATGGGAACAGCTCCGGTCTACAGCTCCCAGCGTGAGCGACGCAGAAGACGGGTGATTTCTGCATTTCCATCTGAGGTATCGGGTTCATCTCACTAGGGAGTGCCAGACAGTGGGCGCAGGTCAGTGGGTGTGCGCAGCGTGCGCGAGCCGAAGCAGGGTGAGGCATTGCCTCACTCGGGAAGTGCAAGGGGTCAGGGAGTTCCCTTTCCTAGTCAAAGAAAGGGGTGACGGACGGCACCTGGAAAATCGGGTCACTCCCACCCAAATACTGTGCTTGTCCCACGGGCTTAAAAAACGGCGCACCACGAGATTATATCCCGCACCTGGCTCGGAGGGTCCTACGCCCATGGAGTCTCACTGATTGCTAGCACAGCAGTCTGAGATCAAACTGAAAGGTGGCAGCGAGGCTGGGGGAGGGGCGCCCACCATTGCCCAGGCTTGCTTAGGTAAACAAAGGAGCCAGGAAGCTCGAACTGGGTGGAGCCCACCACAGCTCAAGGAGGCCTGCCTGCCTCTGTAGGCTCCACCTCTGGGGGCAGGGCACAGACAAACAAAAAGACAACAGTAACCTCTGCAGACTTAAATGTCCCTGTCTGACAGCTTTGAAGAGAGCAGTGGTTCTCCCAGTATGCAGCTGGAGATCTGAGAACGGGCAGACAGCCTCCTCAAGTGGGTCCCTGACCCCTGACCCCCGAGAAGCCTAACTGGGAGGCACCCCCCAGCAGGGGCACACTGACACCTCACACGGCAGGGTACTCCAACAGACCTGCAGCTGAGGGTCCTGTCTGTTAGAAGGAAAACTAACAGAAAGGACATCCACACCAAAAACCCATCTGTACATCACCATCATCAAAGACCAAAAGTAGATAAAACCACAAAGATGGGGAAAAAACAGAACAGAAAAACTGGGAATTCTAAAAAGCAGAGCGCCTCTCCTCCTCCAAAGGAACGCAGTTCCTCACCAGAAACGGAACAAAGCTGGATGGAGAATGACTTTGACGAGCTGAGAGAAGAAGGCTTCAGACGATCAAATTACTCTGAGCTACGGGAGGACATTCAAACCAAAGGCAAAGAAGTTGAAAACTTTGAAAAAAATTTAGAAGAATGTTTAACTAGAATAACCAATACAGAGAAGTGCTTAAAGGAGCTGATGGAGCTGAAAACCAAGGCTTGAGAACTATGTGAAGAATGCAGAAGCCTCTGGAGCCGAAGTGATCAACTGGAAGAAAGAGTATCAGTGATGGAAGATGAAATGAATGAAATGAAGCGAGAAGGGAAGTTTAGAGAAAAAAGAATAAAAAGAAACAAACAAAGCCTCCAAGAAATATGGGACTATGTGAAAAGACCAAATCTACGTCTGATTGGTGTACCTGAAAGTGATGGGGAGAATGGAACCCAGTTGGAAAACACTCTGCAGGATATTATCCAGGAGAACTTCCCCAATCTAGCAAGGCAGGCCAACGTTCAGATTCAGGAAATACAGAGAACGCCACAAAGATACTCCTCGAGAAGAGCAACTCCAAGACACATAATTGTCAGATTCACCAAAGTTGAAATGAAGGCAAAAATGTTAAGGGCAGCCAGAGAGAAAGGTCAGGTTACCCTCAAAGGGAAGCCCATCAGACTAACAGCGGATCTCTCGGCAGAAACTCTGCAAGCCAGAAGAGAGTGGGGGCCAATATTCAACATTCTTAAAGAAGAGAATTTTCAACCCAGAATTTCATATCCAGCCAAACTAAGCTTCATAAGTGAAGGAGAAATAAAATACTTTACAGACAAGTAAATGCTGAGAGATTTTGTCACCACCAGGCCTGCCCTAAAAGAGCTCCTGAAGGAAGCGCTAAACATGGAAAGGAACAACCAGTACCAGCCACTGCAAAATCTTGCCAAAATATAAAGACCATCGAGACTAGGAAGAAACTGCATCAACTAACCAGCAAAATAACCAGCTAACATCATAAGGACAGGATCAAATTCACACATAACAATATTAACTTTAAATGTAAATGGACTAAATGCTCCAATTAAAAGACACAGACTGGCAAATTGGATAAAGAGTCAAGATCCATCAGTGTGCTGTATTCAGGAAACCCATCTCACGTGCAGAGACACACATAGGCTCAAAATAAAAGGATGGAGGAAGATCTACCAAGCAAAGGGAAAACAAAAAAAGGCAGGGGTTGCAATTCTAGTCTCTGACAAAACAGACTTTAAACCAACAAAGATCAAAAGAGACAAAGAAGTCCATTACATAATGGTAAAGGGATCAATTCAACAAGAAGAGCTAACTATCCTAAATATATATGCACCCAATACAGGAGCACCCAGATTCATAAAGCAAGTCCTGAGTGACCTACAAAGAGACTTAGACTCCCACACATTAATAGTGGAAGACTTTAACACCCCACTGTCAACATTAGACAGATCAACGAGACAGAAAGTCAACAAGGATACCCAGGAATTGAACTCAGCTCTGCACCAAGCAGACCTAATAGACATCTACAGAACTCTCCACCCCAAATCAACAGAATATACATTTTTTTCAGCACCACACCACACCTATTCCAAAATTGACCACATAGTTGGAAGTAAAGCTCTCCTCAGCAAATGTAAAAGAACAGAGATTATAACAAACTATCTCTCAGACCACAGTGCAATCAAACTAGAACTCAGGATTAAGAATCTCACTCAAAACCGCTCAACTACATGGAAACTGAACAACCTGCTCCTGAATGACTACTGGGTACATAATGAAATGAAGGCAGAAATAAAGATGTTCTTTGAAACCAATGAGAACAAACACACAACATACCAGAATCTCTGGGATGCATTCAAAGCAGTGTGTAGAGGGAAATTTATAACACTAAATGCCCACAAGAGAAAGCAGGAAAGATCCAAAATTGACACCCTAACATCACAATTAAAAGAACTAGAAAAGCAAGAGCAAACACTTTCAAAAGCTAGCAGAAGGCAAGAAATAACTAAAATCAGAGCAGAACTGAAGGAAATAGAGACACAAAAAACCCTTCAAAAAATTAATGAATCCAGCAGCTGGTTTTTTGAAAGGATCAACAAAATAGATAGACCGCTAGCAAGACTAATAAAGAAAAAAGAGAGAAGAATCAAATAGACGCAATAAAAAATGATAAAGGGGATATCACCACCGATCCCACAGAAATACAAACTACCATCAGAGAATACTACAAACACCTCTACGCAAATAAACTAGAAAATCTAGAAGAAATGGATAAATTCCTCGACACAAACACTCTCCCAAGACTAAACCAGGAAGAAGTTGAATCTCTGAATAGACCAATAACAGGATCTGAAATTGTGGCAATAATCAATAGCTTACCAACCAAAAAGAGTCCAGGACCAGATGGATTCACAGCCGAATTCTACCAGAGGTACAAGGAGGAACTGGTACCGTTCCTTCTGAAACTATTCCAATCAATAGAAAAAGAGGGAATCCTCCCTAACTCATTTTATGAGGCCAGCATCATTCTGATACCAAAGCCGGGCAGAGACACAACCAAAAAAGAGAATTTTAGACCAATATCCTTGATGAACATTGATGCAAAAATCCTCAATAAAATACTGGCAAGCCGAATCCAGCAGCACATCAAAAAGCTTATCCACCATGATCAAGTGGGCTTCATCCCTGGGATGCAAGGCTGGTTCAATATACACAAATCAATAAATGTAATCCAGCATATAAACAGAGCCAAAGACAAAAACCACATGATTATCTCAATAGATGCAGAAAAGGCTTTTGACAAAATTCAACAACCCTTCATGCTAAAAACTCTCAATAAATTAGGTATTGGTGGGACGTATTTCAAAATAATAAGAGCTATTTATGACAAACCCACAGCCAATATCATACTGAATGGGCAAAAACTGGAAGCATTCCCTTTGAAAACTGGCACAAGACAGGGATGCCCTCTTTCACCACTCCTATTCAACATAGTGTTGGAAGTTCTGGCCAGGGCAATTAGGCAGGAGAAGGAAATAAAGGGTATTCAATTAGGAAAAGAGGAAGTCAAATTGTCCCTGTTTGCAGACGACATGATTGTTTATCTAGAAAACCCCATTGTCTCAGCCCAAAATCTCCTTAAGCTGATAAGCAACTTCAGCAAAGTCTCAGGATACAAAATCAATGTACAAAAATCACAAGCATTCTTATACACCAACAACAGACAAACAGAGAGCCAAATCATGAGTGAACTCCCATTCACAATTGCTTTAAAGAGAAGGAAATACCTAGGAATCCAACTTACAAGGGACGTGAAGGACCTCTTCAAGAAGAACTACAAACCACTGCTCAAGGAAATAAAACAGGATACAAACAAACGAAGAACATTCCATGCTCATGAGTAGGAAGAATCAATATCGTGAAAATGGCCATACTGCCCAAGGTAATTTACAGATTCAATGCCATCCCCATCAAGCTACCAATGCCTTTCTTCACAGAATTGGAAAAAACTACTTTAAAGTTCATATGGAACCAAAAAAAAGCCCGCATCACCAAGTCAATCCTAAGCCAAAAGAACAAAGCTGGAGGCATCACACTACCTGACTTCAAACTATACTACAAGCCTACAGTAACCGAAACAGCATGGTACTGGTACCAAAACAGAGATATAGATCAATGGAACAGAACAGAGCCCTCAGAAATAACGCTGCATATCTACAACTATCTGATCTTTGACAAACCTGAGAAAAACAAGCAATGGGGAAAGGATTCCCTATTTAATAAATGGTGCCGGGAAAACTGGCTAGCCACATGTAGAAAGCTGAAACTGGATCCCTTCCTTACACCTTATACAAAAATCAATTCAAGATGGATTAAAGACTTAAATGTTAGACCTAAAACCATAAAAACCCTAGAAGAAAACATAGGCATTACCATTCAGGACATAGGCATGGGCAAGGACTTCATATCTAAAACACCAAAAGCAATGGCAACAAAAGCCAAAATTGACAAATGGGATCTAATTCAACTAAAGAGCTTCTGCACAGCAAAAGAAACTACCATCAGAATGAACAGGCAACCTACAAAGTGGGAGAAAATTTTTGCAACCTACTCATCTGACAAAGGGCTAATATCCAGAATCTACAATGAACTCAAACAAATTTACAAGAAAAAAACAACCCCATCAAAAAGTGGGCGAAGGACATGAACAGACACTTCTCAAAAGAAGACATTTATGCTGTGAAAAAACACATGAAAAAACGCTCATCACTGGCCATCAGAGAAATGCAAATCAAAACCACAATGAGATACCATCTCACACCACTTAGAATGGCAATCATTAAAAAGTCAGGAAACAACAGGTGCTGGAGAGGATGTGGAGAAATAGGAACACTTTTACACTGTTGGTGGGACTGTAAGCTAGTTCAACCATTGTGGAAGTCAGTGTGGCGATTCCTCAGGGATCTAGAACTAGAAATACCATTTGACCCAGCCATCCAATTACTGGGTATATACCCAAAGGACTATAAATCATACTGCTATAAAGACACATGCACACGTATGTTTATTGCGGCATTATTCACGATAGCAAAGACTTGGAACCAACCCAAATGTCCAACAATGATAGACTGGATTAAGAAAATGTGGCACATATACACCATGGAATACTATGCAGCCATAAAAAATGATGAGTTCATGTCCTTTGTAGGGACATGGATGAAACTGGAAATCATCATTCTCAGTAAACTATCACAAGAACAAAAAACCAAACACCACATATTCTCACTCATAGGTGGGAATCGAACAATGAGATCACATGGACACAGGAAGGGGAACATCACACTCTGGGGACTGTTGTGGGGTGGGGGGAGGGGGAAGGGATAGCATTGGGAGATATACCTAATGCTAGATGACGAGTTAGTGGGTGCAGCACACCAGCATGGCACATGTATACATATGTAACTAACCTGCACAATGTGCACATGTACCCTAAAACTTAAAGTATAATAATAAAAAATAAAAAAAATAAAAAAAAACACAACTGAAGTATTGAAAATACTTACTGTATTATTTTGAAAAGACATGAGAAGGGACATTGTTTTTACAAGACCTATATTTATAAGACCTAATTTCTTATAAGACCTAATGAATGTTTTTAATGTCTCACAAGTTCTCTACAAATATACATATATTTATACAAAGATATACACATATTAATATTTATACACACACTGTCTCTGTTTCTCTCTTCTCTCACCCTGGTCTCTTTTGCCTAGACATAGCTCCTCCCCCAATATACTATCCCAGACTCTCTGGCTCTGTAAATTTTTCCATCTCTTATTATTGTCATTTGTATAACAAAGGCCTAAGAGCTAATCAAAGCAAATAAAGAGCATTCTTCTTACATACTGGGAAAGGGAAGGATTGAGACCTTCGCTTTTAATTGTAATGTATGCTTATATCTTTCTCTCCCACAAAAGTCATTTCAATGAAACTTTGGGTTCCTTGAGGGAGGCGATTATTTAAAATGGGTTTTTTTCCTTCCACGTGGTGTAGTATGCTTGTCCATAGGAATGACTTAAATTACATGTGAATAAATAAATAAGTCACATTGTACTTTCCCTACTCAACTATAGTTACACTCATTTCATTTATTTTTTCATTTATTGATTCATCACTTCCTTCTATTTCTCACCAAGCATTTATTGAACATCCTTTGCATACTAACAGCCAGAGATGAAGAGATTAAGAAACAAATCCTTTGTTTCAATGAATACACAATCTCATACAGAATTTGTAAGCATTTGGATTAGTGTTAGGCACATAGTAGGAATAATAAAAGTATTTATTAAGTTAAAATAAAGTAGTGCATACAATGTAAGCATTACTATAATTCAGAAGAAGGAGGGACTTGAGAATGAGAGGAATAATGAAGCCAGTTTGGATCTGATTGGAGTGTATAAGGATTGTGAAGTTTCCAGGTTGGAGGGGGCTGTTTCTAGAGAGTTAGAAAAATTGTTCTGGAGCTTGGAACTCAGGATAGAGGATTGGATTTAAGATGAAAATCCAGGAATCTTTAGGGTTTAAGTCATGGTTAAATCTTTGATAAAATCCAAAAGTGAAAAGAAGAGGATCAAGGGAAAAGTCCTGGGGATAATAACAAGTCAGTGCAAAGAGAGGTCTTCCAAAGGAGAGAAAAAAAGACTGGCCAAAAAGGTGAAGAAGAGCTTTTCAGGACTGGCTTCTTCTCATTGCTGAAGGCTTAGATCAAATGTCGCCTCTTCAATGAGTACTTGCCTTATCACATCATGAAAAATAATACACACACCTCCCAAATCATGTTGTACTCCATTCCCTACTTTTAATAGGAAGGGAGGGAAGGAGGGGAAGAGAGAGGAAAGAAGGGAGAAAAGGAAATCAAATGAAGCAGCCACTACTTGACAGCAGCTTTTTTTGACAAGTTGTATTCTTAGTCCTCTTATGGCCAAATCTTTCAATTTGCCAAAAGAAGCCAGAAATTCAGATATTTACCATATTTTATTATTTCAAAAAGATATTATTTTTCATGTTTTAACAACTCTGAAATCAGAGTGTGTCTTATAAATTGTGACATCTTAGATTAAATGAAATTAGGGATGTAAAATTTTCTGTTTTAAAATCACAAAACATCGCTTGGTTCAAGCAATACACGCTTGTTGCCTTGATTAAAAATTTCCCAACTGAGAACTTTAACCTAGACATTTTCTCACAACACCTTCCTTATATAAGCTCCATCCTACACTGTTTTTCTATTATATTCTACTCAACAATTAAAATGCTAAATGATGAATACTGTGGAGAATGGCCCAGTCATTATCACTGTAGTTTACTTAAGAAAAGTATTAAGTAGAAGACAAAACAACATCTCATTATTCTTAACTTTTGGACAGCATACAATGTGTGCCAAAAGCTATATATTGCACATATACAGATGCCTAGTCTTTGGCTTTAGTTCTAACTATAAGAAGCAAAAAAAGACAAAAAGAAATTAAAAGAAAACAAGAAGGAAGGGAAAATATCATCAAGGTGCCTTTGTCTGGCATTCACATCTTTGGCTGGTGGATACAGTCCTAGTTTATTCTCAGTCTATTTTCCTTTGAGGATTATGTGAACTGTCTCTTTATAGCCTTTAACAGATGTTAAGAAATTACATAAATGAAACTATATATAAATAAATTCCTCTATGCTAGGAAAGTGAGTAATTGGGAGAAGTTAAAGTGTATTTTAGCTATTCCAAGATTTAAGGGGAAGAATCCAAAACCTACATAATGTTCATTCTACGTAGGACAAAGAAGCCCAAGAAATGCAATTTTCTATAAGGGGAAATAACTGTTGCTTCTTCTTTGCCTCTCCTTTTCATATTGAGGTCTATTTTTAGCAGGAAATACTAGTTGAGTTCTAGCCGATGTGTTGTGCTTAGAAAAGAAATGCAAATACCTGTTATTACCTTCTTAAATACAGGCAACAGCTTCATAGTTCTACTTAATATGAAAGAATAAGCTGTTCTAACTGCCATTTTGATCTCGTGATGTGTTTAATAAAAAACACATAGCAGTAAATGGTTGTGTTTGGTTCGTGTGTTGACATAAATCAATTTATAAACTCTAGGTTACATTTAATGTGGTATTTTACATTTTGCAAATAGCACACTGAGAACATGAGAACATTACAGCTTTTATTTCACACATTAATATCAACAATGAGCTTTGATGTTTTATGATGTTAAATCACCTCTAAGGCCTTAATTTATCAGAGAACCATCTAGAAACCCATTTATTATAGAAGTTGGGGAAATATATCTGAGAATGATTTATTGACTAGCAACTTCTACTTTCTAAATTAAAAATGCAGAATATAAAAAGTAAAGATTAAAATGTTCTTTTTAGTATACACATTTTAAACATAAATATATTTCTTTAGAAATCAGAATTGTAAGGAATATTTTAAGTTTTAAGAAAGTACAACTGTTAAAATGGTTACATTTTAAGCAATATTTTTAATGTAAATATGAAGGACGACATAGGATTAAGTATTTTAGTTCATGAATTTAAGTATACTCTTGAAACATGGTGTCTATGGACCATGAAAGAAGAATTTCAAGGACAATGGAAACTATATTGTTGTACAGCAAAGAGAAAACTAGACAAGACTAGGACTTTAGATAACAGAATTGAAATATAGAGCCTATGTTTAATATAGCACGGAGTTTAAATTATAGAATTTGGAGTCTGTGATATGTCTAAATTCAAAGCTTACCTTTGCTATTCACTTGATATGTAAACTTCAAGATTCCTTACCTGTCTCAGACTCGTTTTTCTCGTCTAGAAAAGGAAGGTAATACTATTTAATTCACAGAGTTATTGTGAAATTAAATAAAATAACAGCTATGATCTGTTAGTACCTGGTTAGCACATAATAACTCATCAACAGTCGTGGTTCAGTTATTAATTCAACAAATAAGTATGTAGCATTTGCTTCGTGCAAGATAAACAGAAGGTAGTCTTTTATTTTGAGAGGCTCAGGGTCTGGAAGAGGAAAAGATATAAATCATAATTAGAGTAAGATGTACAGAAGTATTGTCAAAGTATAAAGGCCACAGAGGACTCCACTAGGCCCTGAAACTTCAAAGCTACTTGAGGAAGTCAGGGTCAATACCAGGTTCTTAAAGGGAACTGAGAGTCTGTCTGGTACTTAGGAAAATCTGTAGATACTCATGGGGATCCAAGGGAGTTAGAAGAGGAAATTGCCAATGAGACAATATGTGTGAGGTCTTAAACTCATGGGCCTTATATAAAAGTGAGTGGTTCAAAAAGACTGAAGCCACCCCAGGTTAATCACTCCACGATCCTATTATTAGGTGGTATGTTTCTTAAACAAAGTGGTAGTACAGGAATTATTGTTTCATTTCTGTCAAGTCAGCAGATATTTGTTGAGTACCTATTATGTGCTAGGCTAGGATCTCAGAATACAATGGTGGGCAAACTGCAAAATTCCTGCCCTTAGGAACCTTAAAATATAGTAAAAGAGATCAACATTAATTTGATTTGAACCATTTTAATATCTTCAAAGGAGAAGCACTTGAACGCCATGAGGATTTGACCTAATTAGACTGATTTGACCTAGTTGGAATCCTATAGAAGGGGCTGTAGAACTGAGATCTAAAAGATGAGTCATGTTTAAGTCAGGATGGAGGGGAGGGAAGAGAGCACCCCACAGAGAGACTAAGATAAAAAGTCCCTATCAAAGAAAGAGCTGAGGCTTTAAGAATCAGCTGCAGTGGAAATTGTAACAAAACATGTGGAAATAAACAAAGACCACCCAAAAGAGAACAATCCAAGACTATTTATTCCAAGATTGCTATAGCAAGGAAGACAGCCACCATCACTTGCATCTTGGCAGAGACTCAAGGGCAGGAAGAGGTGTGAGAAAACTTTAAAGTGGGGGAAAAAAAAAGAAGGCTTGAAGTATGCCCTGATTGGAGAATGTTGGTTTGGAGAAGCTGTAGGTGGACTCATTAGACATGGAACATTTTATGTGAGTGCTTAAGGATTTCTCTAGCTGAAAGTGTGAACAAAAATGAGGGAAGTTGTCAGTTATGCATCAAGTCCTGCCCATTTGTGGCCCTTATTACAAGGGTTATTACTGGCTTCCTGGAATGGTAACTACAGATAGAAATTGGACTTCCTACAATTCTGACTCATAGTTGGGCTGGTTACTATAGATAATGGGTTGGTTTCCTGGGCTGTGTGCTGCAGGTTGTGGGTCAGAGTCTTATTGTTATATATGGTTTGGCCATTATCTGTTTGTGTATTCAGTCTCTCAAACCTATGCCTTGTCAAAACAATAAACCAAATCAAAATGAATGTCATATCAATAGAGATCTATGAATCAGCAGAGGTACAGGAAGGAATAATTAATCAACTTTAAGGAAGGAATAATTTAATCAACTAGTTCTATGTTGATAAGGTGAAACAAAAACATAAGAACGTATGGTACTTTGTACCCAGGGAGAAAAAAATTTTTCATTTTTTTCTTCTGTCTACTTTGTTTTTCATGAATTAGTTTATTAATGAAAAATTGAGGGAAAACTGTTTTTAAAATAACACCATATATTAGGTCCTAAAAACAACTTATAATTGCTGCATCCTGCCTTAAATTTAATTCAATAATGAAATTATTTTCTATACAGGATTTCTTCTGTTCTACACAGTGATGATTGCTGGAATATTTTGCACGTAATTTTAAAGCATACAGCTTTCTTCCACACTCATCCTCCAAACCTACCAGCACACAGAGTTTCAACTTGTTGCTGAGTTCTGTTTTAACATTTCTGGAATGAAAAAAAAAATTCAACACAGGATAATTTTAGACATTTCTTTTGGATGGATTTATTCTTTGAAGTATCTGTTTCCCTGGGGCTAGACTTTTTTAGACATTTCTTTTTTAGCCTTCCCCCTGCCCTTTCTCATGAAGGTTTTTCCATATGGTTCCCAGGTTGGGACTGGGTCTCTAATCTTTCAGCTGTGAAGTTACATCCATGAGAAACTACCTATCCCATACATGACTTTTTTCAGTACATTCTTTTCTAAGAAAAACTCAAGAAATTTTATATACAGAGTCATTTGCCTTTTTTTACTTTTTAAGAATTGAATGACTATGTTTGAATGATTGCGTTCTTAAGACATTACTTGGATCTTAGCCAGCTAAAATCTCAATTCCATCTAAAAGTATTGAAATTAGCAGGGAAAAATAATTACAATGATAAAATCTCTCAATTTTAAAACTCATTCAAACATATCATTAAAGATAAAAATAAATTTTCTAACATTCATTATGAGTTTTGTCTTGTTGGGTGGTAAGTGGAGAAATAGTTTCTCGAGCCTGAACTACTATTTGAGGTACACTATTTATAACCATGTTCTTGCTGCTTCTGTGTAGGATATGGGAAGAATAAATTCCACACCAACTCTAGGTTGGCACAAACAGAATTAGGTTTGAGCTCCCCAAGGAACAAATTCTGAATGCCAGGGAGGTTAATTAACTTATGCACTATGCTTTCCTTGACTCTAGAAAATGCTTCTCTATTTTCTCCCATTGGAAATACTTGATCCTTAAA
The DNA here is from genome assembly GCF_000001405.40 of Homo sapiens. NCBI lineage: Eukaryota > Metazoa > Chordata > Mammalia > Primates > Hominidae > Homo > Homo sapiens. The sequence goes on from NC_000012.12 coordinate 43,239,881, forward strand.
GAAAAATGGTGTATTCCTCTGTTCTCACACTGCTAATAAAGGCATACCTGAGACTGAGTAATTTATAAAGGAAAGAATTTTTATTGACTCGCAGTTCTACATGGCTGGGGAGGCCTCACAATCATGGCAGAAGGTGAATGAGGAGCAAACTCACGTCTTTCATGGCAGCAGGCAAGAGAGCGTGTGCTGGGATACTCCCATTTATAAAACCATCAGATCTCATGAGACTTATTCACTACCACGAGAACAGTATGAGGGAAACCACCCCTATCATTCAATTATCTTCACTTGGCCCTGCCCTTGACAGGTGGGGATTATTACAATTCGAGGTGAGATTTGGGTGGGACACAGCCAAACCATATCAAATGGTGGTGTTCTTCTGCAACAATTTACAAAATTTACTGAAGGGTCACAATTAGGGATCAAATATAAGCTCTACCATGTGAATTTTGTAAGAATATTTTCCAGACACAACTGACTCTTTGTGAACCAACTTTTCTCCTTCCTCGCCCTGTCCTTCATCCTTGCACCTAAAATATTTATAAACCCATATGTATCTGCATACTGTTTTCTTCTAATATATTAAAGGAAACGTGCCTCTTCAAGTCATAGGCCAGATCTCTCCCATGTGAATGAGGCCCCACTCCCTCTGTGTTCTCAAGGACCTCAGTCCATTGCTCATTTCTTCTAACTTGTGCTTCTTCAACCTTTGCCACTCTAGAGGATCCTTCCCATGAGATTTCAACAAGAATTAGTGTTCCCATGTTTACTTTTTAAAAATCAATCCTGGTCCTACATCATTCTGTTACTAACCCTATTCTACCTCACAACCACATTTTTAACAGGCACTTTTTCATGCACTCAAAAAAGAAAAATTCATAGAGTCTCTGCTATGTACTAGGTACTATTTAAGGCACTCAGTGAAAAAAGCTAACAGAAATCCCTGCCATAGAAAGAAAAAGAAAAAGAAAAGAAAATGAAAAAATGGACCGAGGTGAGTAGAGGACAGTGGTTGATGGAGAATTTAAAGTGCTGTTTAAATAAACTGATAAAATAAGGCCTCGCTGAAAGGAAAATGTCTCATTCCTTTCTATTTTCCTTTGAATTTTCTGTTTCCTTATGTTTTCCTGCATCGGCAGGACCAAGGGTTAAATTGAATATATTCCCCACTTTATGACACAATATAATTGGTGGTCTTCGCTTCTATTGCTCTTGGTTTATTTCATTTTGTTTTTTTTTTTTTTTCTTTTTGTTCCTGATCCTCTATTCCCCTGAAAATAGACTCACTGTGGTGTTTTTGGGATGTATCCTTGGATGTGTATGTGTGTATGTAAGAGAAAGAGAGAGAGATAGGGAGGAATGGGGAAAGGGAGACTATATCTATAATTGCTTTGTGTACTTGTTTTAAATTTTCATCCATGATTTTCTGCTATGGAGCTCTTTCTGTTTATAAAATTTGTTGTAAGATGTGGCATACAATATATAAACATAGGTATAATTTAAATAATAATGATATATTAAATATCTATGAACCCACCTTTTGATTCAAGACATAGAGAATTAGCAGGAATTAGAAGTGCATGTATTCCTTCTCAAATTCATGCCATTTTTCTCCTCAACAGAGGAAACCACTATTCTGAAGTTAGTATTAATAATTTTCCAATTTTCTTTGCAGACCTGAGCAAACCTGTGAATATACAAAATATATTGTTTAGTCTTGCCTGCTTTTGAAATTTATATAAATGGACACAAAGCATATATATTCTGTGTCACATTTTACCCCAAAGTTAAAAAAAGATAATATCCTATATTGTCTTCATGAAGCTTTATATTATTAGATTCTACTAATAATCTACATCTATAACCTATCTTCAATTAAGTTTTGTATACAGTGAAAGATAAGGGTGGACGTTTATTGTTTTCTCAGATGGAAATCCAGATGTGCTACCACCTTTGTGGAAAGCATTCCAGTCAGAAGATATTAAGGAGAGATATAACAACATGGATTGATCTTAAAAATTTATGACTAACTGTAAAAAGAACCAGGATCATACTTTTAGGTCTTAGCATATGACAGAATAAGTTCTCTGAATAAATTTCCCAATGGAAAAAATATGCTGGATAAAATACCTTTAAAATGTTTTACTTTAAATGCTTTGCTGAATTAGCAGGCAGAGAAAACTTCAGAAGCCAAAAATAAAGTAAAAGCGGACACCATGTAAGATAATTAAATACCAAAGATTGCTCTTGCCCTAAGAGTTTCAGCTGAGCTCAGGAAATCTTAAGCTTCTACATTGCTAGCTGGAAAGTCATTTCAGTTTGGTTTAAAGCCAAGTTGCTGAAGCAAAAGTGAGTTCTATTTAGAGGAAACAAAATTTCTAATGTTTAAGAAGTTCTACGAAAATGAACAGTTTACACCCCAAAATGACAAAACACACAAGGAAATAAGTCACTGAGAGTGACAGACAATAGAAAAGAGCAAAGGGTATCTGACTCTCAAATATTAAATATAGAAATTATGAGACACAAATTTATGTAATATGCTGAAAAAAATCAAAGGGAAAATTTACAAATATGAGCGATAACAAAGGCTCTAAAATTAAAAGGTCAAGAAAATATGGAGGTAAGTTATTACACAGAATTTTCAGTCATTTATAGAGATAATTTTGCTGAGACTATTTCTTTACTAATTGAGTAAGCAGACTATTTGTCCAAACTGGAGAATGTGATATTTCTTATATGAGCACATAGTTCCTTTGTAGAAATAGTTAATGATTTGGGCACTTTTGCAAATATTCACTGTAATTTTGCGTTAGGCACCTGCTTGTTGGAGTTTATAAAAAAATGTACCCCCTTTGTCTAGGACAGGATCCACTACAAGAAGTGTCTATCATAGCTCAATTTAATAATGATTGATTGGACACCTACTATGTTCTGGTAGTATGAATTTTTCTAGACAACAATGAAAGAAAATAAAAGGTTACTAAAAGCCTTGCTTATCTCAAATATCTAAATTTTTAAAACTTGCTATATTGGCACCTAAATTAGCTTAAAAATTGTCTATAGTGGCTGGGCACGGTGGCTCATGCCTGTAATCCCAGCACTTTAGGAGGCTGAGGAGGGTGGACTCCTCACCTGAGGTCAGGAGTTCAAGACCAGCCTGACCAACATGGAGAAACCTCGTCTCTCTAAACTAAACATACAAAATTAGCTGGGCGTGGTGGCGCATGCCTGTAATCCCAGCTACTCAGGAGGCTGAGGCAGGAGAGTTGCTTGAACCCGGGAGGTTGCAGTGAGCAGAGATTGCGTCATTGCACTCCAGCCTGGGCAACAAGAGCAAAACTCCGTCTCAAAAAAAAAAAAAAATAGCCTATAGTTTCCAAATTGTTCATAGGCATAACTCATATGTAACATCTAATATTAGAATATACAATATTGATACAGTTTCAAAGGTTATGAAGATAAATAGTTCTATTTGTATCTTGTCAATAAAAATATTCAACAGTTTTGCTAGATTATTATACTATGATTTTCCAAAGGTTTATTATTTTTAGTTAAGAATACTAAAATCTGCTAAAAGATACATATCAGATTGAAACATACAATTTTATCCAAAGCTTAGTATGTGATTCCTAAAATATTCTTACAAACAGAGCTTTATGTTAACTTCTTTCTCCCTAAACTGATAAGCATTCTTTTATGGTTGTTTGAGTAGTACATATTGTATATGTTCATATTTAATATAATTAGAGATATCCAAAGCATTAATATATACCAACTTGTATTCAAAGAATTCTTAACATTTACAATACTCAACTAGGTAGAAGCAATAATTGGATATGGCAAGTGGAATGGCAATGTAATAAATATACCCTAGAATTTTATGGATGAATGGGATATTAGAAGTCAGAGTTAACATTTTTTCCCATCTAAATGATAACCCAAGTCGGAATCTCTAGGCATACAACTTTAGAGAACTACTTTTGTTTTGTTGTTATTGTTAGCGTTTTGTTTGGTTGGATCTTTAATTTCCTCAGAAGTTTCTGATAAATTCCCAGGTTACAATTATTGATTTATTTTACAGAAAGGAATAAAGGCTGAGAGAAGAGGAGAGAGGCAAGGCAAATTCAGACTTATTGAGCACCTACATTGAACTAAGTGCGATTACTCTTATAGGTCTCTTCACATACCATTTATCAACCATGTGAAGCAAATTCTTTTTGCCTTTGCTTTCTTTTTTACTTTCCTTTTTCTTTTGAAAATGACACTAAATTTGTAATATAAAGCATGCTGTTTGTAAGATTTTAATCATTCAAAATAATGTAATTAGAATAGTCTTGATTATCTTACATTCCCCACCCTGAATAAACACTTAACATTTCAACAAACCACCTTTTGGCCATCTATTCATGTATATATTCACGTATAGATAAATTTATAGAATTATTTTTATGTCAGATCAAACCATAAATGCAGTTCTCTAACATAATTTTTTAGTCAAAAATATGTCAGATATGTCAAAAATAGATTATTGAATTGAATATATGTGCCATGTATAAATTTGCCAGTCCAGCTGAATGGAAATTTCAAATTTTTTTTTTTTTTTTTTGAGACGGAGTCTCACTCTGTCACCCAGGCTGGAGTGCAGTGGCACTATCTCCGCTCACTGCAAGCTCTGCCTCCCGGGTTCATGCCATTCTCCTGCCTCAGCCTCCCGAGTAACTGCGACTACAGGCTCCCACCACCACGCCCAGCTAATTTTTTTTTTTTTTTTGTATTTTTAGTAGAGTCGGGGTTCACATTTTTTTAAGTCTAAAAAAAATATATGATTACCACCCTTTGTGCATACTCTATAATGAAAGATCAACAAGGGTCAACCTTCATCTTAAGATCTAGAGATAATTGTTTAAATTTCTATTGCCCAAATTATGGGAAGTTCAAGCCTCTCCAAAGATTTCTATGTATTGATAGGAAGTACTTATTTTCATCATTAGAGTGGGTTGAGTTCCTGTCCCCAGTGGCTTGGTTTAATGAGCATTTTCATTATTCTGTTTGTATGGTCTCTCTTTTGTTTGGTCAGAAGTCAAGTCTTCCTGAATATCCTCCCCAAAACTCCTACATATGAAAGACGTTTGTGTAAGACTGAAGATGTGGGGAGATGATGGGAATTGTATCATAGCAAGGCAAATAAGTCTATTTTTTATATTATGTGTCCATGTTGCTAGAAAATTCTTGGTCATTTCTTAAATTCCGGTTCCAGCTTTCTATCATGCTCCTCTTTCAATTCTTCTGTGCCTGCCCTCTCATCCCCAAATTACTGCTTGATTCCCAATATGTGACAGATGGCTTTCTCTTTGTGACCTTGGTCTTCCTTCTCTCCCACCCCACCCAACTTGAAAGGGTTATTGTGATATTCTCTATCCAACTGTTCCCATTCCTAAAGGATAGATTACTTTCAAAATTGGTATGATTATGTCCTTTGGATTAATACATTTTCACACTGATATCCATTTTTTTGCCCTTTGTATGCTTAACTTCTTAGGGAGTTAATTTTTTAGAGTCAGATTGCTGTATAAATGGAAATTCAAATTGTATATTTGGCCATATGTTAACAAACTACCATTCCGAAAATTTGAACCAATTTTTATATTTTTTACAGTTCTTTTTCAGATGAGTTTTGAAGTACTCTCTGTTGGGAGGAACAGCTTCCTCCCCTAAGCCATAAAGCCAGTGACCCACAGTGACCTACCAGATTGAACATTCAAAATCAAGTTTTTCTCTTTCCATTGTGTCTATAAACACCGTTGGTAAATACACCCATCTTAAGTGTTTGTAAGGATTACCTGCAATATCATATGAAAGTAAGAAGTCCTCAGTAAATACTAAATCTAATACTAGATTTAAAATTATGCGTTTTTAATATCACTACTACAATTTGTGTGTCTGCACTAGGGTATTCTTATTTCTCTAATTTGGTCTTGTAACACTTAACTTTAGCATTCTCATATCACTTATCACATTGGAACAAAACAAATTTAGACACATGGATAAAATATATCACATATCCTATGAGCTTGTTATGACCTTTTCCTGAAATCCGAACGTTTCTTTAAAACCTTGAAAACTGAAGAAATTATCCTAGTCCCCTACTCATTGGTTCTGTATCAGTTCTGTGCAAAATTATTCTTCCTTCCTGCTTTTAGAAAATTAATGAAAACAGTATCACTTAGTGGAAAGAGCGCAGTCTTTATAAAGTTCACAAGGTTCAAATTATAAGTCTTTTACTAATTAGCTGTATAATCATGTGAAAATAACTTAAGCTCTCAGTTTCAGATTCAGTTTCTCCATTTACAAAATAAGGTAACAGTATTTATCTCAGAGTTTTTTTGTGACATTTAAATTGAACAGGCCAGACAACAATCTGTCAAAACATATGTGAATGCCCTTGACATTCAATACATAACAATTTCCTCTTTTACCTTACTTTTTATGGTTACTATTAACTGTGCTTTTAAAAAATTTTTAATTTAACAATGATTAAGTCCATTAAATGTGGAATAAAGATATTTCTGGGAGACAATATGATAGAACGATAGACTAGAAATATCATATGTTTGTAGTCAAATATGCCTAGATTTGATTATTGACTCTGCCATTTCTTAGCCCTGTGATTTTTGATAAATTATTTAATCCCTTATATGTCTGTTTCTGGTGTAGCCAATAATACCTTCCTCCTAAGTTTGTTGTCAGAATTTAATTTTAAAATGGCTTGGAGAAAGTTGTGCATAGTCGCCTGTTAACTCCCAGTATTAGCAACCTTACCTACCTGGATGATGTAGATTTCCCCTCTGTTGTGTTTAAGTGGTTGCCAATTAAACCCTACAAATATAAAATTCATCTAGTCTATTAAAATATCAAGTCTGTAAAATATTTACTTCTGATCTTTATTTGATTACATACTTATCTCAGGAACAGAAAACTGAAATCCCACAGGGGGTTTATTTTAAAGTAAAGACATTCATACACAATTACAGAAAAATCAATGAAGGAGAAACTACATAGTGACATTAATTTTTATTTCAGGGCCCCGTCCTCTAACATATTTGTCAAGATACTGTTTAATCCTTTATATAACTGCTTGAGATACTGATGGAGTCAAAACAACTGATCAGGAACCTGATTAAACGCAAGAAAAAAGAGAGTATAAAATATATGAAAAGCAAGTTGGTGGTATGAAAATTTTTCTCATTAGTTTATTTGTTGAAATAAAGCAAAATTTTTCCAACAGTGCCACATACAGACTCCTGTTTATTTAGGGGTCATATTCTTATGGGACCAACAGAATTTTGCTTTTTGTTTTTGTAATACGAGTTATAATTTATTAAATGAGTAACGCTAAAAATGATTACTATATAGAGAGCATTCATTCATTGTTGAGCTGTTTTAAGAGGGTGTGTGTGTGTGTGTGTGTGTGTGTGTGTGTGTGTGTTTCATCTTTCTCCTGAACATCCACTATCAAATACCATTCGCTGTGAGAAACGATCATGTCTTCATTCTTACCTTATCCTTTGGGACTCTATCTTGAATCCCCAAAGAACCTGTAAAGAATGCCTGCTGTCTGGATGAATGGCGAGCAGGTGTGTAAGTGTTACTCTCGTGGGCACTTTATCCTTCAGCTGAAAAGGGCACAATCTGTTCTTGTGTCACTGGTACAAACCCATAAAATTTGAGAGTGGTGGTCCTACATGTTCATGGAAAATGATTTAAACCACGCAATTGTGTTTAAAATGATGACAATGGCCTGGATCTCAAAATTGGGATACTATCAGGAGGTCCTCACAAAGTTGATAGTCATTAATAGCAGAGATAGGTTTATGTTGACAACTTCCTCCCCTGCAATAACAACAAATTAGGGCCTCAGTTAAAACAAATAAGTGACCCTGGAAACAAGAGCATTAGAGCAGATGACAGGAAAAGCTACTATTTATTTCCAAGCAGCATTCAAAGAAAAACTCTGCCAGGAATTTTCAGAAATGAGTAGCTTGTTTTGCTTAATCTCAGACCACCTACTGAAACAATGCATTTTTTAAAAATTTCTAAATTGTGGAATTAATTTATTTTTGCTTATTTTTTGTTTTTCTTTTAATGAAGAATCTAGACTTCCAGAAACCAGAAAAAAGTGATTAGAGATACAAAATTTGCCCAATATAACATAATAGCTACTGTTACTTTGAGTGGATTTATGTTTCATCAGATATACTCAGTAGATTGTTTGACTTCAAAATTTATGTTTCTTGTTTATGACATGAGGAAGCTAATTTGAACTACATAAATCCCTCCCTCTTTGAGGAATTTTCAGTGTGAGACAAAATGGAGCTTTTGAGTAAAGCTAAATGTTACATTGAGTATAACAGTACAGTGAGGTAGAAAATAAACATCTATACTAGAAAACTGGGAAACAACCCAAATGTATTCTTGTCATTTTGGTCTGATGACAATAACATTTGGGAAAAAACATTTTGAATAAAGAGTTGTGATGCTCAACAGAGTCCTAAGACAATTATAAATTGATTCAGGTCCATTTAAGCATAAAAAAAATTTATTAAAAAGATGTGAAAGATACCCAGAATCATGTGGAAGCCTGGAGAACTAAACCCCAAATCAAACGGAAGCTGGGTAGTTAGAATCTCAGCCAAATCAAGCCACACACCTAAGCCAGGAGGACAACAGGGTTGTGGCTGCAGAGCCCTGGCTGCCAGCTCAAATCCCTGGAGCAGCAGATGCTGGTTCTTAGACATCACCCTTGTAGCTCTGGACACTCCTCTCACCCAGTCCCTAGAAACCAAAGGCCTCTGTCACCACCACGGCTACCGAAGGAATTCTTCATGGTCTCTGCACAGGAGTGTAAGAAAGTGAGTGCGTAGCTCTTTTAGGCCCTATAATAGGAGACAATTAACTCCTCTCTCCCCATAAAAAGCCAACAAATTTTTATGTCAGTCCATCCTAGCATTATATTAAGATCATTCTTTTGCTCATAATTTTAATTTAAAAAATTATTCCTTTGTAACAAAATACAGTCATTGCTCATACAAATCCAAACATTCCATCACTCTCTTAACAAATGGAGCACCTCAATTTCTCATTAGGGGTGTACTAAATTCCATCTTCAGAATTTGGTGATGATATATATTCCTCTTCAATATATTCAATCAATATTCAGTCAAGATACTGATTCGATATCATATTCAATATCTTACTAGCTATAAAAAAATTAGAAATCTAATTACCACTCTTGGATAAATAAATTGTGAGATTATATATATATATATATATATATATATATATATATATATATATATGTATATATACACCATGGACTACTACTCAGCCATAAAAAGGAGCAAAATAATGGCATTTGCAGCAACCTGGATGGAATTGGAGACCATTATTCTAAATGAAGTAACTCAGGAATGGAAAACCAAACATCGTATGTCTCATTCATAAATGGGAGTGAAGCTATGAGGATACAAAGGCATAGGAATAATACAATGGACTTCAGGGACTCAGGGGAAAGGGTGGGAGGGAGGTGAGGGATAAAAAACTACACATTAGGTACAGTGTACACTGCTCAGGTAATGGCTGCACCAGAATCTCAGAAATCACCACTAAAGAACTTATTCAAGTAATCAAACACCACCTGTTCCCCAAAAACCTATTGAAATAAATAAATAAATAAATAAATAAATAAATAAATAAATAAATGAAAGTTAATGACCACTCTAATATATACCCTATATACAATAATGGTATAGAGAAAAAAATTGTAAAGATATGTGTATGCACACACAAACTATATATACACACACTATACACACATATGTTGTATATATAAACTTATGTACACACACATAAAAGCACATGAGCATATAAATACATCTACATATATCTAGCTACATATATAATGCACATATACATATAAATACACACACACATATATAAAAGCATATAAGAAGTGACTACAATAATCATTTCCACAGTTTCTTGTGGGTCTTAGCTACATATTTGACTTCCCTTTTCTACTTTATATTTCAGGTTCCTTTAACCTTGACATGTATTTCAGTTGCATGAAGAGCTAACCCTCTTATATTCTTCAACTGTTAGTATCAGACATAACAATAAAAGGAATTATCTCATAGATTACCTGTGTTCCATCCATAATCCTCCCAGCCCTCACTGAATAGTAGCAATCCCAACTCCTCTTGATAATAAGGATCAATGACCCTAAAGAACATCATAAATCTGGTTTTGTCTATTCATTCAATGGTTTGAAAAAATCCCAAAATGATAAGTTGGCAGTTTTCTAATTCAATATAATCATTATTGTGTCACTTGGTGAAATATAAAACAACAGAGCCAAGAATCTTGGGATAGAAAGCAAAAACATCTTGTGAGTGGGCTGTTTGGTATTACAGTGAGAAATTCCTTATGTCTACCTTTTCATTCTCAGATTCCTAAATTATGTCTACAGATGAAATAGTACTATTATATTGGTCATTGGTTTAGAACATTTACCATTTCCTGAAGGACAGCATCCCAACATTACAAGGCATTGTTTCCAGATGATGGGATAAATAAGTCTTTTATAAAGCACTCAACCATTTTGTAAGGCCAGCTACTTATGGGAAATGGAGTCTTCATAAGAATAGTAAATTTGTGGGCATTAGCTCTAGGCCTTGAATCTTTACTTGTACAGTGAGGAGAAGACATGTGGTGAGGGATGTGATGACGGCATATAAAGCATTCGTGAAATTTACTGATAATGATGCTGGAAGAAGTATGATAGGAAAAACAAACTCGTGTTTAGAATAAACATCTTTCAATGAGAGCAAATTGGAATAGGTACTTCCACCTATGAAAAAATCAGTTCATTAAAATAAACCAACCATCAGGTAACTAACTAGTTGTCCTGAGATAATGGGAACTCAGGGTAGGTTGTTGTTACTTGAAAACTGAGAAGTCAGTGATGGCAGTAGTTGAGTCAACCTTGGTGAAAGTAACTCTATTTTGCTGAGTTCTTGCAAACCATTTATACATGAGAATATGACCCTTTTCATAAAGTCACTCTACTACTAAGAGACATAATAATAGATGGGCTTCTTCATATTTTGGAGAAAATGTGTATTACATGGAGGTATAAATGAATAGCACTTTACCTTTGACCTAAAAGCCTGCCCCTTTTGATTGGGTCCTGAGCAAAAGGAGCTCCATTCAGTCCAGACCACATTGCATGCGGTTTTGCCACTCACCTGCCACATTGCCTTGAACCTATCAGGCACATACTGGCAACAACTACAAAATGAGGCACAAGGATATCTACAGAACTTGTCAACACGCATGGGCTTTTTGGTGGGCATTCTCATGTGATACATTCTAAGACTATTCTATGAGTTTTATTTCCCTGTTTCCGAAAATTCATTCATTACAGACTTAAGATTTGTATGTGTCCTTTATTTGGACCATCATCTCTCCTTCCACTCTAAGAGAAAAATAAGATCTTTCTATTGGTTTTTTTAATGCTGGGCAAATATCCTTTCTTCAGCATCTACTATGGACACACTTTAATGGGGCTCCAATGCATCAATAGACCACTTTAAGCTGCAGTGCCAGAATACCATGAAAATGTATTTGTAAAATAAATAAAATTATTTTTTCTTAATTAATTAACTTTATCAGTCATCTCATCATGGAAAATGTATCAGAAACCATAGCGTTTGAATATGGGTTAGCAAAACAGCAGATATAGAAAAGCAAGAAATATAAGCAACTGGTTTATGCAACTGATTTGCTTCTAAAGAAACAGTTTAGATCTAGTCCCATTTTTTTCACTTTCGTTGTTGCTAGAGTACTGCTTGGAATGACTTTATGTCTATGTAGATTAGAGAGCATCTAGTTCATATTGGGCACCTTGGATTGCGTGGTCACCTAGTTTTCAATGTCTACCAAGTTAAAGTTTTTTAAAAGTAAATAGTTGCCAAAAAAAATAAGACTGTGCTCTGAAATCATGGGGCTCTCCACCCCTACTCTTCTACTGGTTCACTTCCTTTTTCGTTCTTTCTTTTTCTTTCTTTTTTTTTTTTTCCTTAACTTGCTCCAATGCTCACCCTTGATCACATGGACTTTTAATCTGCTAAAAAACACTCTGACAAACCTTGAAATCACTGTGTCAAGTGAGTTGCAAAACTGCATTCATTAAGCCTGAACCAACTGAAATACTTTCTCATTTTATGAACCCAATCAACATTGGCAGCCTTTCAAGCCAAAGGTCAAAATTTTATATTTAACACTTTGATGTAATATATCTTGACTCTAAAATGCAAAGAAATTACCAATTACTATGTCTCTGTCTTAGTAGCATAAGACACTGGAACGACTTCCTAGTTTTGATGGGGATGTCCTTATATACTTCAGTGATATAGACTAAAGGTTGGAAAACTGTAGACTGCAGGTCAAATCTAGCCTGCCACCTGCTTGTTAACAGCCTGTGAGCACTACTTGAAGGGCTCACTGTTAAGCCATGGGTACCTACATAATATATTTCATATTGACTTTTCACCTCAAAGCCTAAAATATGTACCATCTGGCTCTGATCTATACCCCAAGAGACATCACTGGGGTGAATAATCTGTATTTTCCTCCTACTCTCTGGCATATATATATATATATGGCATTTAGAATTCTTCTCTGAAAATCCTATCAGTATAGGAAACCTATGATGATATTCTGTAGTATAGTAGAGAAAGATACTGAAGAGTAAATTATGCCACTGAGCTGATATAACCTTGAGCAAGATGATAAAAGTAGTATACTGCTGTCACTGCCAAGTCAAAGCATGCTATTTAACAAAAAAAAAAAAAAAGGCTTGACCTTCTCAGCTGTATGTCATTTGCTAGAGATATATTGATTTTTTCAAAAATCATGACCTGATTAGCATTTTGATAACCCATTGTTATTCTCCTGGTTAAATTTGTCTTTCGTATCATAGAAACTCAGGAGTTAAAAGAGGATACTATAGAGATTGACACCCTTGTATGTTTTGTTTGTTTGTTTGTTTGTTTGTTTGTTTTGAGATGGAGTCTCACTCTGTTGCCCAGGCTGGAGTGCAGTGGTGCGATCTCGGCTCACTGCAAGCTTTGCCTCCCGGGTTCACGCCATTCTCCTGCCTCAGCCTCCCGAGTAGCTGGGACTATAGGCGCCCACCACCATGCCTGGCTAATTTTTTGTATTTTTTTTTTTTAGTAGAGATGGGGTTTCACCATGTTAGCCAGGATGGTCTTGATCTCGTAACCTCGTGATCCACCCAGCTCGGCCTCCTAAAGTGCTGGGATTACAGTCGCGAGCCACCGCAAACAGCAGACACCCTTGTATCTTTCCAGCTGTCTTTGATGGTAGCTTTAAGCTTCATAATTCCATCAGGGATACACTACTGGTTTTTTACTTACTCTTTTGCTAAGGCAGAGAAGCTCTAAGAACTTCCACTTGGTTCTTCCTTTCAATGAAGTTCTTACTACACACACAGTCAAATGAGGCTTACAGATACTAGAAATATCATTGCCAGACATACCTTCAAGAATTGAGTGAAGAATCATAGTATTGGTTCAAAGTGAAACTTGGCATGATGGACTGTGTAATGTATATTTTGCTCAGTTCAAAATTCTATTTAATTTTCTGAATATCCTAAATCCTACTTTGGTGGTAACTAGCTCACCCCTTTACTTAAGGAACTTCATGCATTTCAACAAAGTCAGGTATGAAAACTGGCTAAGTGTACAACATTCTTTATTATGCTGGTTAGACCTCTCTTTGCTTGAAGTGGAATTATTTAGGTTTTACATATCAAGGATGACTTTAGTGGTTGTAATAGACAGAATAATGAACCCCATAATCCCAATCCTAGGAACTCTGAATATGGTAGGTTACATGGCAAAGGGGAATAATGTTTATAGATGGAATTAAGTTTAACTTAAATGTAATCATTTAAGTTACATTTGTAAGTTACATGATATAATCAGCTTAACTTAAAATTGAAAGATCATTCTGGACTTAATCCAGGCATGTCCAATGTAATCGGAAGGGTCCTTACATGTGGAAGTGGTCGGCACAAGAGGAGGTTAGGGTGATGAGATGTGATGCGATAAAAATTAATCAACCCACTGTTGCTGGCTTTGAAAAGGGAGGAAGAGACTGGGAGCCAAAGAATATAGTTATCCTCCTGAATCTGGAAAGGGCAAAAAAATTATTATTCCCTTAGAGTCTCCAGAAAGAAATGTAACTTGGGCAATACCTTGATTTAACCCAGTGACACTCATTTTGAACTTCTGAACTAACAGAGCAATAAGATGGTGAATGTTGTTTTCAGCCAATAAGTTTGTGGTAACTTGTTGTAACAACCATGAAAAACTAATACAGTGGTCTAGCCATCTATTTTATTTCTATGGAACCTGTAATCTATTAGCCATGGCAAATATTCCTTCAGGTCAAACCCTTTTGATTTACCATGCTGGCTACGCTATTTTCTCTACTAATTACATCCTCTGTTCTTTTCTTTAGGTACTTCTAGGCCTCTACCATCCAGGGATCCTGCTACCTTCATTAAAATCAGGGAGCCAATTTCAAATGCAACATCTACTAACATCTCTGAAAACAAAACTCCACTAAAGTGCTTTTTCAAAAATGCTGGTGTTTCCCTCAACAGTGGATTTCTCAAAACCTTGAAAAGAGAGTGTCTTATAAATCCTCAGGGAACAACATTTGCTGGGGGGAGGGATGGGTCATTCCTTCTCTCTCTAAGTCTTTGCATTTTTTCCTGTGCATTTTACCAATAAATTTCTGTCATTCCAACCAGCTTCAGCTAGTAGCAGTTTTGAATCTACGTTTTAGTAAGCCAACTAATTATCATTAAAAGTATATCTGAGGAAATCTGATTTATGTGATTCTTAATGACCAAAAATGCAAATGAAGACATTTTTCTAATATATACATTGTTAGTACCTCAGTAAACCTCTCTCTTTAGATCCTGAAGATAGAAGATGGTTTAAAAATCATCTATTCTACCATAACAATATTTTCTTACTTCAGGTGATACATACATTTTAAACTTATAAGGGCAGATCACTATGTAAAATAAGCAAACAATTAGTCTTTTGTTGAAGCAAAACTCTTGAAAAGCTGACGGTATCCACCTTATCACTTTTAAAGCTTAGAATTTTGCTTTCTTTATTTTCTTACAACCATAAATGGGACAAATACCTAGGATACTATTTTCCACACTGAAGAGAAGATAAAGAATTATATTCTTGTAACTATTATTCCATCTTCCTGTAAGGTGTTTATTAACACCTCACGTTAATTACCTTTGCACTTAGACTAATACTCATCATCATCATCTACCTTCTGTTTCTCTTTCAAATTCATAATCTAAGTTTTTTCTGGCAATGTACAAATCAGAGGTATAGGTTCCATTCAGCTGTTGAATTCAAATCACATATTTCAAACTATTTTAAACCAGGTGTAAAATTCTCATCTTTTTCAAAAGATCCTTTTAATCTTACAAGAAAAAAGATATTATTTCAATCTAGAAGAGTTTCAAGATTAATTTCTAGTCTAATCCTCCTTAAAATATTTATTTCCTCAAACAAATAAAGACAGAGTTTAAAATAAAAATATGATGCTCTTTGGGAAAGCTTAGTGGTGAAAATGTGCTAATGGATTAATGGTTGCTCCAGGGGAAGGTGTAATTCACATTCTGAGAGGAGCAGCTGTTCCATGATGAATGGACTGGGGGCTGTGCTTCTGGTATTTGATACTAAACAGAACATCTGATGGACATCTAGCAAGAGTTGATCACATCATGATTTTGTTTTGTTTTGCTGTTGTTGTTTCTTATTATGCCCTAGAATATGGATAGCTGTATTACACTGAAGAGTCTGATCATTATGTCTTTCACATAGCAGTGGTATTTTGGCTGGTATTAATTTTGTTGTCAAAGATACAGCTGTTGTAGGAAATATTTTGAATTTTTAGTACCATCTGGTGTGCTGAAGGAAGAAGTAGTGCTCTAAGCATTGGCATCAATCCACTTTCTAAGTGGGTAATACTGGTGCTTTGAAAAAGGGGCTGTCAAAATGGGCAATGAGAGAGTCATTAATCTGAACTATTTTCATCCTTCTATCATATCACAAATACTGAATACACTAATTCAAACAAACATCCTTAGTATGTGTGCATGTTAAAAAAAATTTCAGAATAGTTGATTATTTATAAGTAACATTGGCATTATTAATAGTTCATGACCAGAAACGTACCTACCACAGTGTATAATAAAACTGAAATGAGGAGATATACCAAGCTTGGTCTATAGCTTGTTAAGGAAGGTGATAAATTGGCACTCATCAAAGTTAAATTGGTTTTCTCTTCCATCACTCTTTATCATTAGATATCTTATTCAGATGTTTACTAAACTCATCTTCTTTTTCCCAGAATAGGTATTTATTAAGTTGGTAGAAATGAAAAACATGTAATTACTTATGACATAATGTATTTTGCTTCAAAGCCTTGAGATATTTTTTGCAATGATTGTTTTCAGGACCTGAGAGTTCTCCAAAGGTCAAAATATAGTAGAAGGAAGACAGCCAGCCACTTGTCCAGGACACACATCTATACAGAGTACTAAAATATAATTGGTGTACAATAGCACACAATTACACAATTAAATAAATGTAATAAAGAAAATATGTTTATTATAAATCCTTATACAAAAGAGCGTAAGTGATAGGGGGAACCATTTTGATAGGACAGTTGAGGTTTAGGGTGATGGAATTCAGGATCCCAAAATATGGCATCTTGATACTGGAGAAAACAGCAGACGCGGGATGGTCTCTCTCTCCTTCCCCTCACATTTTCTTTCTGAGGCAGGTCATGAAACAATTCTCTGACCATCTTCTGAAGTAAATCATAAGACTTTAATGTGAGAGGTGTCCACCCCATATCCCGAGGAAAAGAACTTCCTTATCTCTGAAGTCACAGGGACACAGAGAATAATCCGAACAAACAGGCCTTGCCAACGCCCCCCCAGCTAATTACCGTTAGATCATATTGCCTTTTGTCCAATCATACTTCTCCACAACCGTCAACTTCTTTATCAAACTTAGCATAAAAATATATAGGTTTCTCTGATTGTTTGGGTCTTCATCCCCCTATGAAGTACCCATTGTCACATGAAACATATTACATAAATTTGTATGCTTTTCTCTTATTAATCTGTATTTTATTATGGGTGTCTCAGCCATGAACCTAATGATGAGTAAGAAAAAGAAAATTTTCCTCCTCTATAAGAATGAGAAATACCCCAAGGGAAGATGCTTAAACAATAATATACTCCTGTTAAAATAATTTTAAGATAAGTGTGTTGTCTCTTGTTTACAGAATGAGATATAATTTTGGGGTCTGGGACTCAATTTCTAGAGAGAACAGTTTGAATAATGATGGGTTACCTCTGTCCATTCCCCATGCAACACTTGTGCTCTTTTCCAAATAAATGGAACTTTAGGTAATTTCCAAAACATTTTTGTGTCTCTTCAAAAAAAAAAATAAGTAAGTTCCAAAACTTACCTAAAGGATATTTTTTTTTGAAGAGGCACAAAAGCATTAACTTTTTAGGGTAATTACGGGTTTCATAATAATCCTGGGTTGGTGAGATATTACATAAATTGTAAAGGTACAGTGCAAATTCCTCTAATTCAAGGGATATATGTGAAGCCTAAAGTGCTGTGGAGGTTTAGAGGAAGACAGGATTTTATTGTTATTCATGTGGGCTGAACTAAGAAAAAAATTGCCATAAAGGAACTGGCATTTCAGCTAACCTTAAGTAAGGATTTGGATTTCAGTCAGTGATTTTAGTGACATGAGATGTCTAACAGAAGGAAAATATGAGCTAAGACTCAAGTAGATAAAAACTCGGTGTTTGTGAAGCAGCTGGTAGTCTGGTGTCATTGAACTGTGATGTCTTTGCAGGAGGAGAATGGGAAAATAGACTTTAAGGATGGAATGTAAGCAGAACATGAAAGGACTTAAATGATGAGTTTGTTTATTGGAAACCCTTGAAGGTTTTGAGATATATACAGAAAACATGGCCACAGGTGGAAGAAACGATGCTGGCAGGGAATAATGAGACTATACAAGGGGGAAACTCATTGAGTGTCTACTACAGTTACTTGAAGTTGCTGGTGACTTAAATTAAAATAAATGAAAATGGAAATGCAGAGACAAATATAAGCAATATTTTGGAGATCTAAGCATTACAACTTAGCAACAGAGCAGATGTTGGAATTGTAGTAAGGTGAAGGACATCAAAGAATGATAGAAATTCTACAACAATTATTAGAATAAAGCAATCAAAAAATGAAATTACCATAGAAAAAAATGTGAGGTGATGATGAGTAGAGTTTGATATATATTAACTTAATTTTAATATGATAATATTATTTATAATATTATATGATGCAAAAAAGTTTGCATCATATATTGGTGGAGGAGTATCTTGGTGAAATAACTGCCATTTATTGAACAGCTATAATGCATCAGTTATATAACAGTTATCTAATATAAGGTATACATGTATTCCTCCCAAACACCAAAACAACCCCTAGGTGTTCACCCATCCCTGCTATAAAATAATGAAACTGATGTTCTGATAGATGAAGTTATCTTGTCAAGGTGCTATAAATAATAAGGAGTAAATGTGGAATGTGAATCTACTTCTGTCTGACTTCACTAAACAGAAGAATTGAAATATCATAGGAAGAAGGTAAGCCTAGACTAATGGATGAGCATTTAACTTCAGACAGGGGATCTTATCTTTCTCAGCTATAAAGGGAAATAGGCAAGTAGAGGCTGAGTAATCTCCCTCAAAGACAGATTTGTTCTACTCAGTTAATATAGCATATATAATAGTCTTCTGATTGATGGACAGCAAGTTAATTTTCCAGTGATTGTAGGGCACACTTGATTTCAGGAACACTAAATACTGACATAATAGGCATTTGAGAATTAAAACTATATTGTATGATATGAAGTTGGCTATTCTTTTAAGATTGATGTTTTCTATAAGCTTGCTTCTATTTCTTGCTCAATGGAAGGGATATTGGGTTGGATTAAATAATTTTCTTGTAGCATTTAGATAAGAATATGTTTATTTTCTTCTTTTACTTCTCTTATTCTGCCACTACTTACAGTTAATTGATCTTCAAGGGTTCTCCATTTTACCAGCTCATAGATACTGCCTAAATCTCTCTATTCATCCCAGTCTCCATTATTGTCATCCTCCCAATCTATTACTGGTCCTGAACACATTCTTTCTGTTTTATGAAACTAACTCTCTATAATGCAGTCCCTGTGAAGATTTCAAAGAGTAAATCATTCTCTTGCTCAAAACCTTTCAATAGATTCTCCATGTACTTTACATAAAGACGAAAATCCACAAGATGGCCCAAATTAAAGACTGCATGACTTGGGCTGTGCCACTCTTTTCAGAGTCAGGCATAGAAACTGGGCATATGGGAGTCCTGATGACTTTTGGCGCTATCTTTTCTATTCCGGAGCATTAAGGTTGGGCACATTACTGTGCTACAAAAACTACAGTTACTGTCCATTTCACTTGAATTTTTTATGCTTTTTTTTTGTTTATCTTTACTTCATAGAGTTGTACCAGTTTTGGTCTTTTATATGTACATTCATGGATATCATAACTGGAAGTCAAGGGAAATTGCTGTGATTGGGAGCTGGGGTCATGAACCAGCATTTCTGATTTGCCTTACTAAACTAGAAATCCTCATTGTTGTTTCAAAAGCCTGTAGTACGTTTCAGTCTTTGGAGGTCACGTATTAGATACCACTTAAAGCAAGGTCGTTAAGGTAATGGTTCCAGAGAAGTTAACTTTCTTCTGCTACCATATTTCTCTTTTTTGGGGTTTATTTGAGAGTCAGATTCAGGCCCTCAAAATACACAGACAGGAGGGGATCATATTCCCGAAACAAACCAAAATAAAGGCTTTGCTCAGCTAAGACCTGTTTCTGTATATATCAAACTTTACAGCTCAGTTGTATAAACAAGGATGTTATATGTTCAAATTATTGTATTTTATTATACAGCTTACATCTAACTTGAACTCAAAATATGAAAGCATTTCATTTTTTATGTGGAAATATTTACAGTCTGTACAACCAAAGACATTTACTTTGTTCCATGTTCAAACTATTTTCTGAGGTTTAAAATCACCAGAACATGATAAACTATGTTAGAGAAACAAAACTGAGAAACTAAAAGAAAAGCAGCAGGAGGAGAAGGGGACTAGGAGAACAACTGCACAAAACTTTAGACTTATTTTGAGAGAAACACATTACTGAATTGAATTCATCAGAAGGAGGCTAGCAAAATATTGAATTAATTAATTAGGCAGTACTCTCTCAAGAAAGCCACCATCCCTGTGCTGTCAGGGTTTGTCAGGAATTCCTGCAACACTTTTTCTGATAATACACAATTTCCCAAACTCCCTTCTTCACCTCTTAAACATATTTATTTTGTGCCCCATTTACTCTAGATGACTGTAAGCTAATTTTTAAAAACTGAACAATCAAATTATTTCAATTGGTTTTAATAGCTTAATGTTTTCATCCCATTAAGACTGCACTGCGGCCGGGCGCGGTGGCTCACGCCTGTAATCCCAGCACTTTGGGAGGCCAAGGCGGGTGGATCATGAGGTCAGGAGATCGAGACCATCCTGGCTAACAAGGTGAAACCCCGTCTCTACTAAAAATACAAAAAATTAGCCGGGCGCGGTGGCGGGCGCCTGTAGTCCCAGCTACTCGGGAGGCTGAGGCAGGAGAATGGCGTGAACCCGGGAAGCGGAGCTTGCAGTGAGCCGAGATTGCGCCACTGCAGTCCGCAGTCCGACCTGGGCGACAGAGCGAGACTCCATCTCAAAAAAAAAAAAAAAAAAAAAAAAAAAAAAAAAAAAAGACTGCACTGCATTCTCAATGAAATTACTCTAATGATGCTTACTGCAGGCATCACTGGAGGTCCCAGAGAGGTGCCTGGGACCCTCAGTCTTCATCATTGTCCCTTAAGTTGTACACATAAGCAGTCACTTAAGCAGACTACAGAATGTCACCCAGACCTACTAGTTCAAAACCTCTGCCCTACGTGTACACACCCTTGGGTAAGTGAACCTACCAGAGATAGAGAGGAGTGTTCTAGAAGATCAGCTAATCTAAAGTATTTCTGTACCCAGGTCTAGAAGCATTAATTACTACTAGTATTGCATAATTTGAGGGAAACTATGGAAATTTCCCCTTCTGCTGGCCCGAAATATACCAGTGCCACTCTACTCTCCTTCCCGAACTTGTCTGTGAGTGAATCTCAAATTCTAGAACTGAAGTTTCGTTAAGTATGCATTTCTTGCAATGCCAATCAAATCCAGATTTTAAATTTATGAACACCTGGGAAAGATGGCACATTAGATTACTAACAACAGAGTAGCATTGTGAGAAAAATAGGAGCCTGGAAAAGGGTTCGAAATATGTGGATAAAGTACAAATTAAGATGGAAAAAATGCAGAATGAGATATGTCTCTATTTTCCCTCTCTAAAGTATTTCTCCTCATCCAAAACTTTGAGCTCAATATAAAGTGAAATGTCCTTAGATGCTTAGAGTCATTGGAGACCCTCAGAGAACAAAGAAGGGGTGTATGTGTGTGTGTGTGTGCATATACAAGGAGGAAGAGGAAGGATGGCAGTTTCTGTATCTCATAAAATTACACATATTTGAAATTCTGCTTTCCAACGAATCACTGTCTCTTAATGCCAGAGAAGTAAGAGACACCTCCAGACACTCCACATAGTAGATTATTGTAACAACATCTTAAGAAGCCTCAGACAGGGCCCAGAGACAGAAAAATAAATACAGGAGTTTAAGTGCAGTTGGTTTCATCCAGGAACATCAGCTCAGCAGGGTTAAGACATGAAACAGACCTATGCTTCAAACATACCACTGAGTATCTAGACTATTTCCTGATATAAGCTTCTTGAATATAAATATCATAGTAATACAAATACACATACTTTTTACTAATGTCACTTTAACTGTTTCTGAGCTGTTTTCATAATTCTGAAAACACAGTGCACTTGGTTAATGAGAGTTACTTTTTGAGTCTCAATAAGAATTATGGCTAATGAAATTATGCTTTATAATTCCATTTAGGAATAAAATAATATTCTAAGAAAATGTGTATTTTATTTATGATCCTTTCTATTTTAATTTTCACTTTATACATAGACAAATCCTTCACAAATTAATGTAGTAGAAAACAGACAGCAACAGCTAAGTAACAACTTGGCCCTCATTCTTAACTGGGTGAAATTGATCTTATTTAAATGTGTCATTATTTAATGATGATAATGAATGACTGAAATGATCTCCTGTTTATTATTAGGAAATTTTAAGAATGTTTAGGTGTCATAAAGAGATAATTTTAAAAGCTCAAATTTTGCCATACAGAAATGAATATTGTTAGCATTTTAATATATTTTCTGTGATTCTGGGTATGTAGTTTTCTGCTTGTACGTGTTACTTTCTTTTAAATTTGCAATCATCCTGATTTGAACAAATAAATTTTTTAAATCTTATGAGTTAACTGGAAACATTTAATCACTAAAAAAAAATTGATCATATTTAGTAATAACAGTTAATTTTTAAATGTAATAGTGTTATTGAAATTATGTTTTAGAGATAAAGAGTGAATATTAGTAGTTGGAATGATATAATGCCTTGGGTTTGCTTTAAAATAATCCAGAGAAGAATAAAACGACATAGATTATGAATTAATAGCTATTGAAGATGAGTGACAAATACATGGAGGTTCATTACACTATTCCTTTAAAAAAGTTTAAAAATATCTTAAGTAAGTTATAGGTTATAATTAGTGGTATTATGTATACATATGTGAGTGTAGATATATACACATTCATAAACACTTTAACTTAATTTTCAATTAACTTAAATTTTCTATACCTTTATTTCTTTTTATGTCAGTTTAACCTATTAAAAGCTGAGATAGGAGTGTAATGTCTCTCAAAACAATTGTGTTTGGTTAATTTTTTTCTAAGGATTTTTATCCTTTCAGTCTTTCTTGCCTTAAGTTCTTTTTCTTTTCTTTCTTTCTTTTTTTTTTTTTTTTTTTGAGATGGAGTCACGCTGTGTCACCCAGGCTGGAGTGCAGTAGCACAATCTCAACTTTCTGGCAACCTCTGCCTCCCAGGTTCAAGGGATTCTCCTTCCTCAGCCTCCCGAGTAGCTGGGACTACAGGGGGGTGCCACCACAACTGGCTAATTTTTGTATTTTTTGTAGAGACTGGGTTTCCCCATGTTGTCCAGACTGGTCTCGAATTCCTGGGCTCAAGCCATCCACCCATCTCGGCCTCCTGAAGTGCTGGGATTACAGGCTTGAGCCACCTTGCCCGGCTGCCTTAAGTTCTAACTTCCACACTTGTTTTTTTTTTCTTTTTGTTTGTCCCTGCTTGATAATTCCTGAACATCCCTTTGTTGTGGTGGTTGTTGCTGTTAACATTCTCTGGCATTTTGTGTTTGAACTTAAAAAGTATTTAGTGTTTTCAGAAATGTTATCTGTTTCCCTTTAATTGAGGGTTAAAATTGATTAATTTTGTTCATAACTTTATGTTTAAAATTGAAGTTCTCATCCTGGGTTTTATTTGTTTTGCTCACTAGTATGTATGTGTGGACGGATTCACAAACACACACATACATACAACATATGGATCATTTTTATTTTCTTTTAAACTCCACAAGAATTTGGTAGTTGCATAAATCACTTTTAGTTCTACTAGTTATAAAAAGTAGGCATTATAAAACCTGAGGTGAGGGTTACCCCCATTTACTATGATGTGATTTTAATGCATTGTATGCCTATATCAAAATATCTCATGTACCCCATAAATATATACAGTGATTACATACCCATAAAAATGAACAATTAAAAAATTAAGCATTGTAAAAACATTGTAATCTTGTTTCTACAAGTTTGAAAGCCAGGAATGAAAATGTTTTGCTTAACTATATATGAGAAATTCAGCATATCTTTACTTCCCTGTCCATACTGTGCCCATTAGCCTTATTTGTTGATATAATATAGGCTTGGTTTCAAAATATTGTTATTAAATTGTTTATGTAAAAGGGCTTCCCTTTCAGGTTGTTTTGATGCAGAATTCATTTTGTAAAATGCACAGCAAAAATATCTGGACAACATGCTTTATTAATTTTAATATTCAACTGTAATTTCATATTGTGATATATACATCTTTTATATGAAACATTATAAGGTATATTTTGTAAAGCATAAAACACAGAACTCCAGTCTCATTTTATAGTGTTTATTCTTAAATTTATAGTACTTGTGGAATTTACTTTTTCAAATGATGCTATGAGAAACTGTGAGAGGTGAGGACACTTTCCTACTTATTCCATGAGGCCAGAATTATCCAAATACCAAAACCACTCGAAGACATGACAAGAAAAGAAAGCTATAGACCAATATACTTTGTGGACTTAAACACAAAATTCTTCAGAACATTTTAGCAAATAGAATTCAGAAATCATCTTAAAGGATGATAAATTTTTGTTAAGGATGATAAATTTTGTTTATCCCAGGGATATCAGGTAATTTTATAACTTGATATTCAATTATCACAATTGACCATATTAATAAACTAAAGAAGAAAAAATATATGATCTTCTCAGCAGATACAGTAAACCATTTGACACAATTCAACCTTCATTCATGATAAAGATGCTCAATAAACTAGGAATATAAAGAAACTTCCTCTACCTGATAAAAACCATTTACCATAAACATATAATATATAATGGTTTTCTTCTATAATCAATAACAAGTCAAGGAAGTTGGTTCTCATCTCTTTTATTCAACAATCTACTGGAAGTTCTAGATGAATTAGAAAGGTAGAAGTAACATTCTTTTTATTCATAAATAATGTGATTAGCTATGTCAAAAATCCTAATTCTCAAAAAGCTACTAGAAATAATAAGAGAATTTAGCAAGTGCTAAATTGTTTAGAATTTAAGATCTATATAGAAACCTTGTTACTACTGGCAAAAAATGGAAATTAAAAATATTTAAATACTATTTGGAATAGTATCAATAATGTGTACACATAATTTAATAAAACATATGCAAGATCTGGTAAGTGACAAAATATCATTAGACAAATTTAAAGAGAACTAAATATATAGGAAGTTAGAGCATGTATATGGTTTGAAAGACTCAATATTGTTATGATGTCACTTATCTCTATTTTGATCTATAGATTTCAGTGCAATTCTAACTAAACTCCCAGCAAGCTATATTTTAGAGTTTGACATTGTACCTAAAATAGAAAAGTGTGGAAATCATCCAATAGCCCAAACAATTGTAAAAAAAGAAAACAAAGTTGGAGAATCTATCTTTCCTGATTTTGACACTGGAAAGCTGGTAATTGAGACAGTATGTGATTGGCATGAGAATAAACATGTGGACGAAAAAAATAGAGATATCAGAAATAGATCCACAAGTGTACATAAACTCATTTTTGGCAAATGTTTCAAGGTAATTCAATGAAGAGAAGTTAGTTCTTTCAACAAATGATGCTAAAACAATTGATATCCATACGGAGAGAGAGAGAGAAACTGTGTCCTTTATATCACAAAATACTCAGATGTTAACTAAAAATAGGTCATAGACTTAAATGTAAAAGCTAAAACTATTAAAGTTCTAGGGAAAAAAACAGAAGAACATCTTTTGATCTTAGGGTAGCAAATATTTCTTAGTGCATAAAAAAGGATAAACCTTAAATAAAAAGAAAACTGATAATTTGGACTTCACTAAAAGTAAAAACTTTTGCTCTTTTTCAAATTACACTTAATGAAAGGCAAGCTATTGATTGAAAGAAAGCCATTTTCAAAATACATATCTGATAAAAGACATATTCCAGAATGTATACAGAATCTTACAATTCAGTAATATGATGACATGGCAATGGGCAAAAGATTTGAACAGACACTTTTCCAAAGATACATGAATGGCAAATAAGCGTATGAAAGGATACTTCATATTCTTAGCCATTAGAAAACTCCAAATTAAACCCAAAGTGAGATACCATTTCACACACACTAGAACGGCTACAATGAAAAAGACTGACAATACCAAATGTTGACAAGGATGAAGAGCACCTGGAACTCTCATACATTGTGGGTAGAAATGCAAAATTGTATAGTCACTTTGGAAAACAGATGAGTAGCTTCTTATAACGTTGAATATTCACTTACCATGTGACCTAGTGATCCAACTCCTAGGTATCTATCAAAGAGAAATAAAAACCTAAGCTTAGATGAACATCTACTGCAATATTTGTAGCAGCTTTATTATGATAGCCAAAATAATAAATGTCTATCAACTTTGAAATGGATAAATACATTATACTATATCCATAAAACGAAATACTTAGCAATGAAAAGGAACAAACTACTGATACGAGCAACAACAAAGATGGATCTCAAAAGCATTATGCTAAATAAAAGTACATACTGTATGATTTTGCTTATATGACCCTTGGGTGACAGAAGCAGATGAGTGGTTTCCAGAGGCCAGAGCTGGAAGAGAGAATTAACTACAAAAGGGCATAAGGAAACTTTACGCATTGATGGAAATGTTCTATATCATGACTGTTAGTCCATTTTCACACTGCCATAAAGAACTGCCTGAGATTGAGTAATTTATAAAGGAAAGAAGTTTAATTGACTCACAGTTCCACATGCCTGGAGAGGCCTCAAGAAACTTACAGTCATGGCGGACAGCAAAGGAGATGCAAGGCATCTTCTTCACAAGGCAGCAGGAAGGATGATGAACGCAGGAGCAACTACCAAACACTTATAAAACCATCAGATCTCATGAGAACTCACTATCATGAGAACAGCATGGGAGAAACCACCCCCATGATCCAATTACCTCCAGCTGGTCTCTCCCTTGACATGTGGGGATTGTGGGGAATATAATTCAAGATGAGATTTTGGTGGGGAAACAAAGCCTAATCATATAAATTGTGGTAGCGGTTACATGACTAAATGCATTCATCAAAACCTATTCAAATGTACATTTTAAAGTGTTGGATTTTATTGTATGTAAACTATAACTGAATAAAGCTGATATTTTTAAAGTAGAAAGAAGGCAAAATAAAGACACGTTTGAGCAAAAAAAAAAAAAAATCCTGTGAAGTCAGTGTTATTCTAAATAGAGCATGAAGAGCTTGAGCAAATTTACACAGAACCACAGCAATGAAGGCAAGCCTAGGAAATAAGGACAATAAACTAATATATGTATTAATTTTTAATAAATTCACAAAATATTTATTTAGTAGCTACCATGTCTGTACAGCATTGAGCAAACTAATTGAGATATAATAATTATTTAATCATGGCATTTATCTTCCTGCACCTCAAACTGTAGTTAAAAGATAGACCCATAAATAAGTAATTATTGTGGCATGAGGGTGGATGTTGAAAATATTTTGAAAGTGCTGTGTGAGTATAGTGGACAGAGCTGGGATTTGACTTTAGCCTAAGCCCCATCTTAGTAGGTAACTCAATAAATATTTAGTAATCTGTTGATTGAATTCGAATGCTCTTGATTGAGTATATGCCCTATATCTAGCACTGTCCATGTAGTTGCTTAGAGGAATTTGCCCCCTTGAAGCACTAAATTTTTGGTAAATATTTCATTTTCTCTGAAATTATTTGGAACTCCTGTTATTAAAAATGTTACCCTTATCTCTCACTTAGTTAGACAGTATGAACAGGAAATGAAAATGGAAATAAGATGCAAGATAATTGTTTTACTCTTGAATGTAAATATCTCAGTTTGCCTTGGCCTTTTGCAACTAGCAGTTGGCCACTGTGATAACATTGTTTGGTTGGCATTATCGCTCAGTTTCCTTCCTTGGAGAGAACGTTATGCGGATTGGCTGCAGCTGTGCTCCATCAGATTCTTTTCTTCTAGGCTCCAGGGCCCTTTGACCACTGCTCCTAATTCTCCTCCCTTCCTGCTCAAGTGTATTTCATCTACAATGCATTTAATGTGGAGTTTGACAACTTCTTTTTTCCTGAAAGAAGTATAAGTGCTTTTCTCTTTATGAAATATTTTTCATAGATTAATTGCTTCCTCTTTTATTACAAAATTTCTTGGAATGTCAAATGTATTGAGGAGCACAAGGTCTTTAACTCCCTTTGTCCCAGAGAAGTAAGATTCCCAGCAGACTGCAGATTCTTCCCAAAGTACTGTGGAGGCTTTGGCAAAAAGTGAACATTTCTCAAGTAGTTAAGTGATAATTCAGCAATTCTCATAGAAAATAAGACTCCAGTATTTTTAAAATCTATATTTTAACCATGAAATGTGTTCATCTTCCTCACAAAGATGGTATAGAAAGATACTTTTGAAGCTAGCAATCTTTCTTCTCTTCAAGTGAAATTATGGTGAACCATGTAAGTAAAGTTTATTTGTATATTTCTGACTATTGGTAAATAAAATTAAATGCACACACACATTTATCTTTCAAAGGAATAGCTTCATAACTTTAGTTACAAATACAATTGCAGCTCTTTTTAAATTTATTTATTTTTTTTCCTGCACTATTAGCAGATAGTCCAGTATGCGACCCATGTCCTAAAGGTCTATACTCTCTAGGTATTGTTATAAAGGGCTCTTGCTCCATTTTACTCACAGCAGGAGAAGATAATACCAATTTGATCAAGTCACAATTTTATTGTTTCTCACTGCCATGTGCTATTTTATTCTCCCAAACATCCTGACAGATAGTGCCTGTGCTCTGCTGTGAGAGGTGATTCCATTTCCTTATAGTATAATTGGTAAAGAGTGCCCCACACATGATCTCCTAAGGGTACAGCTTTAAGCACTCATCACTTTTAGTTCAAATTTCTAGCAGCTACCTCCCCATAAACCTAGAATCCTCATATTCCTTTTCTCCCTGGCAACCACATGCATTCTGCTAGAGCTACTTATAATCAGAACTATTAGAATTCCCTTTCAAAGGGACACTCCACTCAGCACTCCCAGAATGATTTCCTGTCCTCACCTGCACCTTGAGATTGCTGGCAACTTTTCTTGTTAAAACAGAGAAATGGACATTGGGAGGCCGAGGCAGGTGGATCGCCTGAGGTTAGGAGTTCGAGACCTGCCTGGCCAACATAGTGAAACCCGTCTCTACTAAAAATACAAAAAATTAGCCAGGCGTAGTGGTGGGTGCCTGTAAGCCCAGCTACTTGGGAAGCTGAGGCAGGAGAATCGCTTGAACCTGGGAGGCAGAGGTTGCAGTGAGCTGAGATCACACCATTGCACTCCAGCCTGGGTGACAGAGCGAGACTCCATCTCAAAAAAGAAAAAAAAAAAAAAGAAACACACACACACAAATTTAATCTCTGGTAGAACAATGCCTTTGATGGGCTATCTCATTATTTGTAAATGTGGTGGTATTATATATGTATGTATATGTATCTATGTACAGTTAGCTCTCGTATCCACAGGTTCAACCATGGATTTAATTGAATCACAAATAGAATACATTCAACAAATAATAATCAAATAACAATACAATAACAAACGATAAAAGTTTAAAAACAGTACAGTATGACTATTTACATAGCATTTACATTGTATTAGGTATTGTATATCATCTAGAGATGATTTAAAGTATATGGGAGGATGTCCATAGGCTACATGTAAATATTACATCATTTTATAGAAGGGGCTTGAGTATCTGGGAATTTGGTGTGGGGGTTCTGGAACTGATGACCCATGGAAACCAAGAAACAATTGTATGTGCATATGTATATTATAATGTATTTGTAGATAATGTATATTATTTGTGTGCATTAGTTTGAGCTTATTAATAGACTAAAAAATACCCATTAGTTGAATTCCTATTATGTACCAGCCACTGAATACAAAGGTTAATAAGGTATAATCTGCCTCTTCAAGAAATTAAAGACTCAAACAGTAAATAAGCTATTATAATATTGTACAGTAAATACTGTTTCAGAATATTCTACATGCATAGAATATAGATATTAGGGGCAACACGCAAGAACAAATGTTAGAAGAATGAATTTTGCTCAGGGAGGAGCAAATTCAATAGAATCACGGAGTTATCAGCAGATTTTACTCCATAATTAGGCCATGAATACATCACCTGGTATCCTTCTTTTGTCTTGGATTCCTGACATCAGTAGAGTTGTTTTGGGTTTTTCGTTTTTGTTTAAGTTTTATTTCTAACAGCACAAATTATATTCTAGTTAAGTTTAATATTTGGCTTTTTATTTCTGATATGGAGAAAAGCATGCAGTATAATCGCAATAGATATGTTTTTATAAGTTTCATGAATGGACAAATTGCATTATTGGCAGTGATGGTATGTGGAACCTGTATATTGTTTGTAGGGTTTTTTTTTAATCTAAGCATATTCAATTTAATTAAAGCTTCTGACACAATCAATTTGTTACATACAACAAGATCATTTGCCAATGAATGGGTTGACCTCCATTTAAAAATACAAAGTGGGACAGATGTGATGGCTCATACCTGTAATCCCAGCACTTTGGGAGGCCGAGGTAGGAGGACTGCTTGAGCCCAGGAGTTCCAACATAGTGAGAGCCCCATCTCTACAAAAAATTTAAAACTTAGCTGAGTGTGGTGGTGCGTACCTGTAATTGCAGCTACAGGGGAGGCTGAGGTGGGAGGATGCCTTGAGCCCAGGAGGTTGAGGCTGCAGTGAGCTGTGATCATGCCACTGAACTCCAACCTTGATGACAGAGCAAGTCGCTATCTCAAAAAAAAAAGTTTCATGTGTGGCTTTGTAATAATAAACATTAAGAAAGAAGTAAGCTTATCTCACTCTTTTTTATTTCATTGTAGCATAGCTCATTCTTTATAACACACCTATAGTGTGTGTTATATAGTGGCAACCACAGCAGAAGAGTCAAATGGTATCAACTCTATTCATGAGAATCTCACAACAAACTTTTCTATGATTATTAGGTTATTTTGACACATGAAATTATGATAAAAAATGTAAACTTTGCTATGTTTTCATTAATATTTTAGTAACAAGGAATTATTATTGCTTTTAAATGTTTATTCTCTTTTGGATTTTTATTATGAGTATTTAAATCAAAAGGGAAGAAGGAAGAAGTAGTAGAAAATGCATTTTATAATTTATTAGTACATAGGAATTTTAACCTACTTTTTGGAACCAAAAATTACTAGCCTTGTCTATTAGGTAGTTGTAGGAGATTTCACTTCATCAGATACTGAGCAAGACCAGAAATACTGTGGAAGCTGTTTATCCCTACTCTGTTTGTATGCAATTGTATAGTGAGTGAGCCTTCAACCACTACACAAACAGATCTTCACATATGAGACTTAAATGACTACCTATTAATTTAGCAGAACTTGAAAACAATTTTGAACAAAATGAATAAGCTAATGAACTTCCGTGATTTTATGACATCATCTGGGATGAGGTTAGGGAGGAGTTTAGGGAGACAGCAGGTTAAATTTGACCTCTACAATCTTTTACCTAATACTTCCAGTTTAATAACTTTATTCAAAATATTGGAATAAGATTTTGTATTATTCTTAATGTGGTACCACTTGAAAACCTCAATTTGATGGGTACCTATTTTACAAAGAAGAGCATTTTTAGGGAAGCGAGAAGTGTTCTAGTCTAAGCACTAATAAGGTGATTAAATCACAATGGACATGTGTAGGCAGCCTTGGGGGCACATGTATACTCCTAGCTAGAAGAGACTTTGGCAAGGGGAGGAAGTATTGGGCAATATGTTTATAGAACTCGTGATGGAGCCTCCAGGAAAATACCAACAACAATATTTTGCCCAACATTACTGTGAATCCTTTAATTTTTCTTTCTTCTAAGAACAGATTTAAAAGGGCATTTGGCATTTATTTTGTTTTGTTTTCAAGTAATAGCTACCTCATTAAACCTCAGGTTTGACAGTGTGGGCTCATATGCCAGGTTGTATTAATTCATCTTTGCCCTGTTAAACGGGAATAATTCAAAGAAACTCCCCAAAGTAAAACTCAAAGTGAAACTGACTTCCCAAAGTACTAAGAAATATTGTTCAGAAAAAATAAAACTTCAACATTTGGTACAATTTATTTCGCCCATCTTCTTGAAGCATATTCGTTTTATTAGCATTAAAAATTATAGTTGTGTCAGTTCTGCAGCTGACAGTGGTTTGGTTCAAACCAGAGTCAGTGGCAGCTGCAAAAATAAGGAAACATCTTGTCTGTTGCCATGAGAGGATTACAGTATAACTCACAGCAAGCCAGCTTTATGCAAACTATCTCAGGTTTGTCATGTAAAAATCAAAGTCACATGTCTCTACATGAGCGGCATTAGCTGAAAAACTTCCAGCCTACTAAGCAGAGATAGTAACCACAAAGACATGAGACTTTCTGCATTTAAAGGACAAACCAGTAGGGCATTCTTTTCTTGTACAAACCAGTAGGGCATTCCATCCCAAAAGCCTGTCCCATTCCTGCAGCTCTAATTGACTCTTCACCCCACATCAAGGACACTCTGAGGAGAAACTAGTTGGAGAATCGCTTCCAGCAGTGTGAGGCTCTCCCCTAACAACAGTGCAGTCTGCCCTTCTCAGGCCCCTACTGTTAATTCCTAACCCCTAGAAGAAGGATTTTGTTTTTGTTTTGTTTTGTTTTTGAGACATAGTCTCGCTCTGTTGCCAGGCTGGAGTGCAGTGGTGCTATCTCGGCTCACTGCAACCTCCACTTCCTGGGTTCAAGCGATTCTCCTGCCTCAGCCTCCCAAGCAGCTGGGACTACAGGTGCCTGCCACCACACCAGCTGATTTTTGTATTTTTAGTAGAGACGGGGTTTCACTGTGTTGGCCAGGCTAGTCTTGAACCCCTGACCTCAAGTGATCCACCCACCTCAGTCTCCCAAAGTACTGGGATTACTGGTGT
This sequence comes from Homo sapiens, assembly GCF_000001405.40. Classification (NCBI taxonomy): domain Eukaryota; kingdom Metazoa; phylum Chordata; class Mammalia; order Primates; family Hominidae; genus Homo; species Homo sapiens. The sequence continues at coordinate 43,273,070 of NC_000012.12, forward strand.
GAGCCTCCGCACCTGGCCTAAATGATTTTCAACCCATAATCACAGCAAGGAATCCATTTTCATTCAGATCCTGTATAGATGTATGTGCATGTTATGTATATAAATATATATATACATATTTATATGTTATTTTAACTGAAGCAAAAACCTCAAGAAAAATATTCACCCTTAGTATTCAGTTGGTGCAAAAGTAACCATGGTTTTTGTGATTAAAAGTAACCGCAGCTTTTGCAATTAAAAGTAATTACAATCACTTTTGAACCAACCTAATATATGCAATGCACTCTGATAGTTTATATTTTATTCTATTTTAATTTTATACAGTTGTTACAACCCACCAAATTGACTTCATGACACACAAATTTGTCATGATGCACAGTTTGTAAAATACTGTCAGACTTCAGTACTTGTCATGTCCATTTGTGCATCAAAATCACCTGGGGATTATTCTCAAAAGAAGTCAGAAACGGGGAGAAGGAAACTGGAAGTGACTGCATTAAAGGCAGGCAGATATTTTCTGCCAAGTATTTGCTGTATGAACTTTGATAAGTGACTCAACCTTTCTGAGTCTCTTTCCTCACCTATTGAATGATGATAATGGCAGTCTTCCACATAGAGTCCTGGTGTGCGTGAAATGACATAATACCAGCAAAAGCACTTTGCTTTAAGTCTGAAACATGGTAAGAAGGCATTAATACTATCCTTAAGTCTTAAAATCATACTACTTCTACAGTTGTGCTGCATTACTGATGTCTAACAGGGATTTTTCAAACATGCCCTAATCTGCCTGAAACACTGTGCCTTCACTAGAGCCAAAAGTAGATTAAAAATCAGTCACTCATTAATACTTTGCCTAGCTACTAAATTGGAGGTGCCTAAACAAGATACTAATGAGGTGACTGAGTCTTAACCTGGTTTTGGCCTCCACTAAAGGTATTAATGAGGTGACCAGGTTTTAACCTGTTCTTGGCCTCATGTATGTGTTGGTTTTTCAAAGCAGGTGAGAATCTGTTTTAAAAGGCTATTAAAATATCAAATCATAAGTCTAGTTCAGGATTTTTTTTTTTAAGAAACATGAACTACAAATATGAAGGGAAGAACTGAACAGAGAACATAGGAACCCTTAATAATAATCTTTCACATAATCCTAGCCCAATTTTCCTGAAGAACTATAGCAGATTGAATCCACATTGTTTAAGTGAATATTGAGGTTTTTCCAGTGAATAATTTTCAATTTAACATATAATATCCTAAATCCGTAGGTCCTAAATGGAATCAAGTAGCGAGTATTTATTGAATAAATAATACCAACTATACTTAAGCAGTCCTGGGATACTAAGAAATTTTGAAGTGCAATCACTTCCTTCAAAGTACTTACAGTATGCTTGGAAAAAAACTGTTTTAAAAGATAGTGTATTTATAGAAGATCTGAGGTATAGGAAGACAACAGATCAGGAAATGATTTTCATTAAAAGATAGTTACTCACAGTTTCCAAGAAAAAGGGGTGCACCCTAGACAAGGAACCACTCTCACCACTCCTATTCAACATAGTACTGGAAGTTCTGGCCAGGGCAATCAGGCAAGAGAAAGAAATAAAGGGTATTCAAATAGGAAGAGAGGAAGTCAAATTGTCTCCGCAGATGACATGACCCTATATCTAGAAAACACCATTGTCTCAGCCCCAAAATTCCTTAAGCTGATAAGCAACTTCAGCAAAGTCTCAGGATACAAAATCAGTGTGCGAAAATCACAAGCATTTCTATACACCAACAATAGACTAGCAGAGAGCAAAATCATGAATAAATTCCCATTCACAAATGCTACAAAGAGAATAAAATACCCGAGTTTCTGAGTTTCAGTTTCATACTGAAATTTCATACTAAATACTGCTAACAAGGGATGTGAAGGACCTCTTCAAAGAGAAGAGTTCTTCAAAGAGAACTAGAAACCACTGCTCAAGGGAATAAGAGAGGACACAAACAAATGGAAAAACATTCCATGCTCATGGATAGGAAGAATCAATATTATGAAAATGGCCATACTGCCCAAAGTAATTTATAGATTCAATGCTATTCCCATCAAACTACCATTGACATTCTTCACAGAATTAAAAAAAAAGCTACTTTAAATTTCGTATGGAACCAAAAAATAGCCCATATAGCCAAGACAATCCTAAGCAAAAAGAACAAAGCTGGAGGCATGAGGCAACCTGACTCCAAACTATACTACAAGGCTACAGTAAACAAAGTAGCATGGTACTGGTACCAAAACAGACATACAGACCAATGGAACAGAACAGAGAACTCAGAAATAACACCACACATCTACAACCATCTTCAACAAACCTGACAAAAACCTGACAAAAACAAGCAATGGGCAAAGGATTTCCTATTTAATATACGGTGCTGGGAAAACTGGCTAACCATATGCAGAAACTGAAACTGGACCCTTTGCTTGCACTTTATGCAAAAATTAACTCAAGATGGATTAAAGACATAAATGTAAAACCCAAAACCATATAAACCCTAGAAGAAAATCTAGGCAATAAATGAGGACATGGGCATAGACAAAGATTTCATGAAAAAAACACCAAAAGCAATTGCAACAAAAGCTAAAATTGACAAATGGGATCTAATTAAACTAAGGAGCTTTTGCACAGCAAAATAAACTATCATCAGAATGAACAGGCAACCTACAAAATGAGAGAACATTTTTGCAATCTAACTATCTGACAAAATTTTAATATCCAGAATCTACAAGGAACTTAAATTTACAAGAGTAAAACAACCCCATGAAAAAGTGGGCAAAGGATATGAACAGACACTTCTCAAAATAAGACATTTATGCGACCAAAAAACATATGGAAAAAATCTCAACATCATTAGAGAAATGCAAATCAAAACCACAATGAGATACCATCTTACACCAGTCACAATGACGATTACTAAAAAGTCAAGAGACAACAGATGCTGGTGAGGTTGTGGAGAAATAAGAATGCTTTTACGTTGTTGGTGGGAAGGTAAATTAGTTCAACCATTGTGAAGACAGTGCGGGGATTCTTCAAGGATCTAGAACGGGAAATACAATTTGAGCATGTTCTCACTCCTAAGTGGGAATTGAACAATGAGAACACATGGTCACATGGAGGGGAACAACACACACCAGGGCCTATTGGAGGGCTGGGGAGTAGGGGAGGGAGAGCATCACGGCAAAGAGCTAATGCATGTGGGGCTTAAAACCTAGATGACAGGTTGATAGGTGCAGCAAACCACTATGGCATGCGTATGCCTATGTAACAAACCTGCACGTTCTGCACATGTATCCCAGAACTTAAAGTAAAATAAAAATTTGAAAAAGATAAAAAAAGAAAAAGGGGGTTGACCATGTTATGAAAGGGCCACACGGGGAAACACCTCGGTCATTCAGGAGGCAGAGGGAGGGGAAACTGTGGGCAAGAGCAATTATTGAGATTTCCTGGGAAAGAACAGGTGAAGAGGGTAAGCAGGTTTAGGACTGGATCATTTGAATAAGTTTAGCATATTTAGGACATAGTGGCTATAGGACATAGTGGCTGTCGGCTGTCCTTGGTTTTCTGGTACCTGATCTTGGGTGATTAGGGCAGGTGGATAGTGTCTTGGAGTGTAAGAGTCTGGTAAAGGAGGTGGTGGTTGGGGCATGGGCTCTGAGTTGGTTGGTTGGTATTTGAAAAGAGCTCAAGAGCAAATTGTTTACCATCTCTTGGAATTGATCAACCTTGGCAGGGAGTCCTTCCAGAGTCAACAAGGGCCCAGATGTCAAAGCATCAGAACCCAGAAAATAGAAGACATGGTTGACACAGAAACAACCCCAAACCCAGTAAATATAAATAACATAGTTTACAACTAATACATGTATCGTATACCAAAGGAATGAAAGAATTTAGAGAAATGATTCTCACCTTTGGGAATACATTAGGATGACCTTTGGATTTATAAAGGTAATCACGTTGAATCCCTATCCCAGACACTGACTTAAGTTGTCTAGCGTGAGGCCTGGGCGTCTCCTGATAGGAGCTCCTTTTAAGAGCTCCCCCAAGTGATTTTAATTTGTAGCCCAAGTTAAAAACTACTGATCTCTAGATCTGAAACTGAAACTCAGAAAGGGTAAATAATTTGCCTACATTCCACAGCTAATATGATGGTAAATACACATCTCTCTTCCAAATTAGAATTTAGTTACTTTTAAAAGAGGAAATACAATATTCCCCTCCAAGTAACCAATGTTTTTCCCATCTGAATAACCCAAATACATGTTTTATTTTGTTTCCAACTTTACATATTCCTTGCATTAACCAAGTACCTATTTAATATTATTGCAGAGAAATCTTTGAACCCAGGCATAGTTGATACCTAGAATCTTTTTCTGTCCAGCACATCAACTTCTGTCAGGCTTTTACAACACCACCCCACCCAACTCATACGGTTATGGCTAGCCTGTGAATGACACTGGTGCATATAGGGCTGAGAGTTATCCCATCATGGTATTCCAGCATTTTATCTTTAGTAATTGGTCCAAATGATGATCACATGAACTAAGCTGGACCAGTTAGAATGCTTCCACCAAGATTTCAAATTTGGATGCTGGAGAGACGATGTGTCTCTGCCTTGTGGATTGTAGGCTGTAAGCACCAAGCACTGAGTAAGCTTCTTTGAGATCCTGTCTAAGGCATGAGAGAATGATGCCATCAGGAAGAGAAACACAAATACAAACAGAACCACAAGACGGATAAGCTGATATCATTGTTTGAGCTTCTGGAGTTAGTCAGGCTTAAATACAAACATCTCCACCCATGGACTTCGCAATTATATGAGCCGATAAATTTCCTTTTTAAGTTATTTTAAATTTTGTTTCTGTCACTTTTAACTATTCCTTACTAATTCAGATGTTTTCAAAAAGTATGTATTATTTGGGGTCACAGTCCTGTACAATATAACCAGGGAGTGCCCAAGAAGACTTTGAACTGGATGTGCTTTTCTTCTTATATGTACAATTGCTTCATTGTGTATGTAGGTTCTCCAGATCCAAGTTTAAAGAAAGGCTGTACTGCAAATTAAAAAATCACCAATAAAATATTTCGTAACAGTCCTTTAGAGAAGACTGAGATTCCAATGACAAAAAAAGCCAATAAATCAAAATCAATTACTAAACATCTGCTGTGTACCAAGAAAATGTGAAATGTATAGGGAGGCTCCAAAAGTAAAGAGGACATGGTCACTACTCTTGAGAAGCTCAGAACTTGTGGGGAAAACATGGACCCAAAGTAACCAGCACTCCAAGATAAAGAACACGTGGCAAGTTGCCAAATGAGCAGTATAAGAATACTTTAGGGCTACATATGTTTAAAAGAATGAGCGATAGTTGTTAGACAGAGGTGATCAGAAACACTTATTGTTGTTTTAGAGGAAGTGAAACCTGAACTGTCCCTTGAAGAATGGAAAGTTTTAGCAGAAAGTTTATTTTTGCCTACAAAGATAAAATTCCACGTAACAGGCTTGAGTTACTTCAATACTGCAAATATAGACCGATAAAAATCGAATTTAATGCAGTAGAAACCCATCTCATTACCTGCAGTTCCATATCATTATTTTGAAATATTTGTTACAATGAAAAAAAAGATTTATGAAGAATATAGTATCTGTCAAATACTTTTTGAGATGGTTATGGTTCTTGTCCCTAAAGGTTTTAATCTACTTAGAAATTTCAAATAAATAAGTTATTAATTTGAGGGCTGGGCACGGTGGTTCACGCCTGTAATCCCAGCACTTTGGGAGGCCGAGGCGGGTGGATCACAAGGTCAGGGGTTCGAGACCAGCCTGACCAACATGGTGAAACCCCGTCTCTAATAAAAATACAAAAATTAGCTAGGCGTGGTGGCGGGCACCTGTAATCCCAGCTACTCAGGAGGCTGAAGCAGGAGAATTTCTTGAACCCGGGAGGCGAGGTTGCAATGAGCCGAGATCACACCACTGCACTCCAGCCTGGGCGACAGAGTGAGACTCCGTCTCAAAAAAAAAAAGTTATTAATTTGAGTAATATCTAAGACAAGATACCTAACCCAAATTAAGGAAAGTCAGAGTAGGATTCTTGGGAAAAGGAGCATCTAAACTAAAGCTTTATTAGAAGTCAAGTAGAAGTAACAAAGTTTCTGAAATGAGAAATACCTGTATATGGTAAATCAAAAGAAGGTCAAAGTGGTGATATGAAGGTACTTGTGAGAGTAGAAGGGGCAATAGAGAGTTTAAACAGTGTTTATTAAATAGTGTCGAGAAAAAAGGCCATGATGATGCCATAGAGCAGCTGCTCTCTAGTAGCATGGGTCCCTGTGGGTCTTTGAGACACTTTCACAGAGTCTGTGAGTCAAATAATTTTGGCATAATGCTAGTACATTATTTGTGTGTAAAAGCTCATTCTCTCGTAAGTGTACAGTGGCATTTTTCACTGTACATTTGGAAGAACCATGTAAAAGAGTGAACCAATATATTCCAAATAACAAATCATGATGTTACAAAAATCATGCATAGATAAAAATCCACTAAAGGTGCAAGATAGGCCAATGTACAGAACTAGACAGACTATAAAGCAGTAGTCCCCAAACTTTTTGGCACCAGGGACCAGTTTCATGGAAAACAATTTCTCCATGGACCAGGGGGTAGGCGGAGATGGCTTTAGGATGAAACTGTTCCACCTCAGATCATCAGGCATTAGATTCTCATGATAAGCATGAAACCTAGATCCTTCACAGGTACAGTTCAGAACAGGGTTTGTGCTCCAGTGAGAATCTAATGCTGCACTTATCTGACAAGAGGCAGAGCTCAGGCAGTAATGCAAGCAATGGAGGTAGTGGCTGTAAATACAGATGAAGCTTTCAGTGGCTCACGCCTGTAATCCCAACACTTTGGGAAGCTGAAGCAGGCAGATCACCTTAGGTCAGGAGTTCGAGACCAGCTGGGCAACAAGGCGAAACCCCGTCTCTACTAAAAATACAAAAATTAGCCTGGCATGGTGGCAGGTGCCTGTAATCCCAGCTACTTGGGAGGCTGAGGCAGGAGAATTGCTTGAACCTGGGAGGCGGAGGTTGCAGTGAGCAGAGACCGTGCCGTTGCACTCCAGCCTAGGCACAAAAAATGAAACTCTGTCTGAAATAAAGAAATATAATAAATACAGATGAAGCTTTACCCGCTCACCTGCTGCTCAACTCCTGCTGTGCAGCCCGGTTCCTAACAGACCACGGACCAGCCACAGAGGTTGGGGACCCCTGCTATAAAGCATTCATGAATATGATTTTAGATTTCATATTGCAACTAATCTTTAAGAAACTATCACTTTTTGAATTTTGATGTAACGTAAAAGATGAATATTCACAACTACTAAAATGGCTATTCAAATACTCTTCCCTTTTGCAACTATATATGTGTATGAGACCAGATTTTTTCATATACTTCAACTGAAGCAACAAATCACAACAGATTTGCCAATCTAGCTAACTTCCGTGAAGCCAGACCTTTAAAAGATGTTCAAAACTGTCAAACAATTCTACTTTTATAACTAACTTTTGGAAGACGGTAGTTCCTTTTCATAAGAAAATGGTTATTAGTGTTATTTTTAAATGAATTAATTTATATATTTCAGTTTTAACTTTTAATATGATAATTGTAACTAGATATAACTCACTTAAACTCTTTCGGGTCCATAATTTTTAAGGGTATAAAGGGGTTCTGAGACCAAAAATTTGAGAATATCTGCCACAGACAGTGCCCTGGAGATTCTACTTTAAATCTGCTTGAGATCTCTTTTTTTCTTGACTCTGTGTGATTGGTGAACATTTGGAAGTGGAAGTAACTCAACGTTTATTGAGAGAGCTTACTAAGTGTTCACTCGTTCATTCCCTTTTTCCAACTGCCTATTTTTATAAGCCTGAATGAATAAATGAATCTTGCTTTCACTTCACTACCCAACAATAGGACGAGCTCCTTTTTGTTCTGAATCCTCATTTCCCATTGATAATGTGTCAGAGTAATAGCTGTTATTATGACAATTTAAGAGAATTGTGTAAGGATCAATAAACAACAAGATCAAATTCACAAATGTATCTACCTCTGCAGAGCATTCTGTCTTGATAAAAACTGAAATTGACTGGGGAGACAGTTCTGCTCTGCAACTGACTACCCAGTGGGCTTTGAGTTTTCCCATTATAAGACACAAAGCTTTAAGAGCATAAAAACATTAAAACATTAGAAAAAGCAAAAGTTAAAACTTGTTCTCCAGCTCTGAATACTTGTGAAGAAGATTATAATGAACAATCCCTTATCTTTCAGAAAAAAAAAGAAAAAAGTCTGATTTCTTTCTTTGCTTTGAAGCTTCTGATTATTTCTGGCTGTTTGCCTCACATTTTGATCTTTGGATAAAGATGCTGTCCCCAGGGCTCCTTTCCTTCTGAGGTCAACTAAGAAAATCTTTCTGAAGGCTTTTACTGGGATTTTATATTTAACACCTGGCTGCTGAAAAATTTCAGGAAATTCAGTTGCAAAGCTCTAGGATCCTCCGCAGGAAAATGTTTTAGATATGCAATGGAGTGGTGCTGGGGGCAAAAAATGGCAGCAGTGGCAAGGACTCAGGGCAGGCCCTGTCCCTTGGCTCCCTCCTGGCCTGTAGCAACACAGTGTTTGCAAGCTCAACCTCCCCTACACACAGACAGTTCAGTGGGCTGGTTCATGGGAGGTCACTAGGAGGTACTTTGGGACAGGAACAGACTTTTCGTTGGAACTGAGTTGAGACCATTCCCTTCTTTTCCGTTATAAATTTTGTCAATTTTGATTATATATTATAGGTCAGAGGACATCATTCTTTTCAAGTCAAAATTTAGCTTCTGTGAAATTTTGATTGTAAAAGAGTTTTTCTCCTTTTCTTTTCAAATAGTATTATTTTTAAATGGTTGTTTATTTTAGATTGAATTAAATCAAGCCTAGCAGAAAATGATTTTTATGTCTGCTCTTATTTTAATGTGGTTGCTCAAATACCTTTAAAGCAATTTATATAGTAATCTTCCAAAAGTTTCTTTTCCTGTTTGTTTTTACTTATAAAAAATAGTATGTGTGTGTCAATGTTTTATATTAATTTTACATTTTTTGCAATCCTTTGAAAAAATCATTTTCCTCCAATCAATCCTTTACAGCTGAAAAATGTATGCACAATTAGATATGAAATACATGACTGCCCTCTCTTGTCCACCTCAAAGTAAAACAGTTTTAGTAATCAAATATTTTCTTTCTGTAGTGGTAGGATATTAAATTAGCCATATTTAATAATATAAGCTAAATTATTTGTCTTCTCTTTTTGATAATATGATGTGTAAATACATGATATATTTCATTAAGAAGACAAGAACTTATTGGAAGAAAATAATTTTAAAGTGAGTACAATTTCCTTCATAGTCTTTGTAATACAACACTGTTACAAGCTTCAATTGTGGGGAGGGGCAGATCTCAGGGGGTACATTGAGTTCAAGTAAGCCTGGCTTTTAAAATAAGTTTCATTTTCCTTTTGAAAAGGTAACTGAAATGATTGCACTGGAAGGAAGTTCTATGTTCCCAGAGTTAAATCTGTCCACAGTAATATTCTGATTTTCATTGTTCTTGCACAAATTGAGAAAAAGCAACACAAACATGCCTGTTTGTTGGAGCCAGTAATTTCTCATATTGCTGCTCTATAATGGAGATGCACAAAAGAGCATACTATGGTATTATTAATTAATTTTCCATTTCTATAACACTAGCTATCTTCCTCCAGAGGTTATTGAATCAGACAAAATGTACATAAGTCTTTGTGCTTGATATGAAAGGCCAACTATGGGTGGAAATTTCAGGATAAAAAGATCTTAGATCAGAAGAAACTAAATGAACAGGGCTAACATTCATCCCATATTCATGAGGATAATGACGAATGCCCTGCCATGATTTTAGGAATCATATGCCACTTCAATTGCATTTCTTTGAGAGTTCCAAGTAAGAAAGCATTAGGCCCTGTGAAGATGCTTCCTAGAATCTCCAGTGAGGCAGTTTCCACCATAAATCCTTCACATCCTATGAAAAATGTTTCCTTAAAGCATGAAGGAAAGTTATATTTATTAGAAGGATTTTACAAAAGAGCAGCTACAGGTTTAAATCTAAGAATACACATGCCCCCTGTGCTCCCATCCCCCACCCCACCAGTGTTTCATATTCTTGTCAAATGTGCTGGTTGCCAAATGAGAAATCTTAGTGTTACTACCACTGCACATGTGGTGATGACTTGCACCAAGTCATAGAAGTACTACTAAGGATCCAGTCTGTCCACACAGGACAGAGAGAGTCCCTCAGTGGTTGGCTGTGGCTGTTTGCAGTCTAGAGCCACATGTTCAAAGATGGCCTAATGTTCTGAGATATGCTGTTAGTAATGTTATTTGAATGCTTTCAATATTATATTTCAATATTATATTTCACAGGTTAAGTGTTAACTAGATTATCTGTTACTAGAGGTGCCACTCATCTGCTATTGTGCTTTTATCAGGAAAATTCATAGAGTAGCTAGCATCCTCTTCACAACCACCCTGTCAGGTAGAAAATATTACCATCTTCATTTTACACAGAGTGGTTAAGTAATTTCACCAGTATTACATGGCTAAATGCACTAGTTGAGGTTATAATTTGAACTCAGGCTGTCCAGCTCCAGACACTGCCGGACAATGTTTTACTCCAGTCTTTTTTTTATCACAAAAACTTCTAGCTATTCTTCAAGGCACTATCATTATCCACCTTTTCTAAGAAGCTTTCTTCATTCTTTTAGCTAATCATTCCCTGTCTCCTTTCTTAACTCTCATAACACTATTCTTAACCTTTTTCTAACCCCAACGTTCTGATGGTGGTTTTACTATTTATCCATTTATATTTTCTTCTCTACAACTAAACTGAAGGTTATCAGGCAGTATCTAGATGTAATTCATTTTCATAGAAGAAGGCATTTACAGATTTGCTGGTAAGGCATGAAATAGCATTTTAAATAAAGTTATTAGGCTTATAGTCTTTCTTCAATGCATTTGTTCATTCTACCAATATTTATTAAGTTTTAATGATATGGCAGGCTTGCTTTTAGGTGCTGGGGTTACAGTGGTAGATACCTAAGTCAAACTGCAGGCATGGTTTTATGATATAACTAATGATCAAATGTGATGAGATTTCTAGTCAAGAGTCTTTTATTAATGCACGACCTTATTGTTAGTGATTGGTTTTAGGTAGAAAAGTAACTTGTGGATCTACTTTACATCATTATTGACAGAGTAACTTAGAGAATATCCACTGTATGTAAGGAGCTTTCTGAAGAGCATCATAATATATAAAACTTAGAAGCATTATGACAGAAAAAGGAAACAAACCATTTTTACTATAGCAATGACGAGATGGAATATAGAATTGTCTCATATTTGAATATGGACGACAACTTGGAATGAGTTTCAGCTGATATTGCAAAATCTTTGGCAGAAAGCATGTGGAGTTCTTAATGAGTAAAAATGAACCAAGATCCAGTTCTGTTTCATTCATCCAGTAGATCAAATATCCTCCCCCATGGGTTCAACTTGATTGGGAAAAGTGCAACTTCTTTAACATTCTTGCTTTCTGGGCTAAGATTTCCCAAAGAATTCTCTGTAAGGTGCTGTCCAGACCTGACCCTGTTTATCAGATAAAACTAAACCAAATAACTTCAGGTTGTTTTGACTACTGATGGATGAGATTTAGAAAATGACAGTCTGGAATCAGTCCATGAGGAACTGCATTCACATTGAGTTGACTGTGATTGTGTGTGGTATATCACTTTGATTTCTTCTATTTGGCCCATCTCTATGGATAATTTCTAGCAAATTCAAATTTACAAAGCAAATAAAATAATCTGACAGCTTGTAAGGGTGGGAAAGGATGTTGGCTCATTTCCCTAAAGACTTATCTCATAGAAAGGCCATATTTTATATGAAAAAGAAATATAATTCAATGTTTCTCTGCCAGAAAAGGCAGCCAAAATTTTTATATTGTTCTGGGAAGAAAACGACCTTTTGCAATTTCCATTTACTCTTCCTTACCAAACCTAGGACTTTATTCTTTTGGAGATGGAAACAGTATTGCAACATTTTCGTGAAGTGAATCTTCAAATAAAGTACAAAGAAGTTTCATTCCGCAAACCCCCAACCTCCTTCTTGTTTCTCAGTTCAGGCTCATTGTTGTCTTTAGCTCCTCTGCTCTCGGTTTTGGCTTCCTGATCACCTACATCATTTGTTTCTCTGTCTTTTCTGACCCTTCACCACAACACTGTGGTATTCACTATCATAACATGTGGGCCAAAATGAGTTCATACTGACTACTAGAGTATGTAATTCCACAGGAATTTTATGATCATTGAGCAATAATTCTTGTATATCTATTTTACAAAATTATCTAGGAAGCAAATTATAATAGAGTATTTCCTCAAGGCTCTTAATAACATGATCTATTTTTGGGAATTCTCTCTCCATGCTGGCACTTGAAATTTATTACCTCAATAGTTTTGACAGGCAAAAGGATGAAAGAGGTAGAACTGTTTAAAGTTATTTTTAGCCTAAATCTAGGTTTATTACTAACAATAGGTTCCCATTGTGCCACCCTAGAGCATCCAAAGTAATCAGAGTAGAATAGAGAGGCAATTAAATTGAAAGCCAACAATCTGCTGAATACGTATTTTAGTATCATTTCACCCTACCCTAACCTTCTTTATATGTTCAGACATCGGTAAGTGTAGTTCTCCTGTTCAGTAACTTACTGTGATTTTTTTTCATTTTTTTTGTCCCAAGTCGGTTGCAGAAGGAGGTGGCTATTCAACATAGGTCTCAGGGTGGTGAAAAATGAGTTAATATTTATTTGTTCCTATATAGATATTAAAGTATGCTTGACCAGGCACAGTTGCTCATGCCTGTAATCCCAGCACTTTGGGAGGCTGAGGTGGGAGGATCACTTGAGGCCAGGAGTTTGAGACCTACCTGGGCAACATAGCAAGACCCCCATCTCTACAAAAAAAGACGAATAAAAATTATTCAACCTGGGAAATCTGATTGAACAACAACAACAACATATAGCTAGGCATGGTGGCACATGACTGTAGTCCTAGATATTTGGGAGGCTGAGGCAGGTGGTTTATTTGTGTCCAGGAGTCCAAGACTGCAGTGAGCTATGATCATGCCACTGCACTCCAGCCTGGGTGACCAGACCAAGACTCTGTCTTTAAAAAATAAGTAAATACATAAATACATCTAAAGCATGCTTTACACACATCATCTCATTCAACACTCATAAACAATTCATGAGTAGGTTCACACTGCCTCTTATAAAGGAGCAAACTGCGTCTTCAAGAGGATAACATAACCTAATCCACCACTAATAAATTTTACCCCTTTAAATGATACAATTCCAACCAATGATTTGTGCAACAAAAACTTTTCTCCACTCTAACTTCTCCTCAAATCATTCTTTTGCAAACATACAAAAAATGACATACACATGGCCAGGCTCATGCCTGTAATCCCAACATTTTGGGAGGCCAAGGCGGGTGGATCATGAGGTCAAGAGTTCGAGACCATCTTGGCCAACATGGTGAAACCCCGTCTCTACTAAAATTACAAAAATTAGCTGGATGTGGTGGTGTGCGCCAGTAGTCCCATCTACTCGGGAGGCTGAGGCAGGAGAATTGCTTGAACCCGGGAGGCAGAGGTTGCAGTGAGCCAAGATCACGCCACTGCACCCCAGCCTAGCAACAGAGCAAGACTGCATCTCAGAAACAAACAAACAAAAAAGACAGACACATGCACATGTGCACACACTTAGAATATTGTATACCTACACCACAAGGCTCAAGGAAGCCTTCCATCCTGAAATGCAAATGCAATTAAGCATCTCAATTAGTAACTCTTAATAGCATAGTTTAGACATCAATGTGATTAAACAATTAACTGCAGCCCCTACATGGTGTTTCTTCACTCGCTAAGGTTAGCTGTGGTCGCTATTGTTTCTCCCCATGCCTTTCCCTTCCCACATCACCAGCTTCTTGATTGAGTTGTCCTGACCACACTTGGTTATTTTCCTATGGATTCTAATAATAAGTCAATTACAGAGGCCTGGCAGTTGGGGAAATGACTTTGGTAACTCCCTTCTGCACAGTATGAGCCCAACTAATGACAGAACAGAACACTTACTTTCTTTCCTTTGTTCATTTTGTTATTTTTCCTGCAATCCAATGAACCCTTTCTTTCCTAATTAGTTTTCTGCTCAGCAGCTTATCAAGTTTGTCTCTTCCAAACTAAATACATCAGGCAACTCTAGATCGTTGTCAAGAGACAAAGTTAAATCATTTGGGGAGGGGGTAAAAATAGCTCTAACTCGATCTCTACTGGGCTTTGGGGAAATCTAAAACATGTTCATTTTTCTTTCAAATTGGCTGCCTGGTTTCATTCTTCACTTTCTAGCATGACGGTAAAGTGGATTATTATTATTTTTTTTATCAACAGCATGGCAGCATTTAGATAGGGTGGGGGCAATCCTATTTTCCTATTTCACTGGATGAAGACAAGCAAAACAATATGCTTTGTCAGTATGGATATTTCTCTACCAAGATAGTCCCCAGAACGGTTCTATATAAATGTTATTAAACTCCGCATTAAACAGCCTGTGTGTATGGGTACTGAGCCCAGAAGTGCCTGACAGCTAATGAATAAACATATACTTTATTTCTAGCAAGGCTTTTTTAAAGGATATGGTGCCTGAAAACTTTTGGCAAAAAGATCCACTTACTTTTTATTTTAAAAACGCATATGCTCACATGGAAACAAAAGTAAACCAAGCAGAGTATCACTCCAATTCTTGAATTTATAAATAGGTAAATCTCTTATGATTTTGCCTGAAGAAAGTCAAGAGACGCCACCTTCTTCAGTTCAGAGAAAATGCTGCTGCGGCATGTCTTACTCCAGTCCCACGTTGGAGAGAGAGCTGCGTGTCCTTTATCCAGCTGGGCACTCTCCAGAGGGGGCTTATCTCTTTTTCGAACACATGGACTTGTAAATACAAAGTTCAAAGGGCTTCCTACACAGCCATTTTAGTCCTTATTTGGAAAGAGTAATGTAGATATACATATAGATATAAAATAAAGACAGCAGGTTTACCCAATATAGTTTGGAGCTGGAATTTTCATTCCGTGTGTGTGCGTGTGTGTGTGTGTGTGTGCGCGTCTGTGCACGTTTACATTGTTTTACTGCCTTATCATATATATGCCCAGATTAAACAGCTTACCTTGTTTTAGCCTCATGGTGGAATGAAGGAATACTTACTACTTTTACTACTTTTTCATCTCACTACGATGAATTTATTATGCACTTTTCATGATTTATCTGTGAGATCTCAGTCCATCCACAGTCAATGATAGCACAGAAAGCTCCTTACTCTAAATGTATAGCACAAAGTTTACACATGCAAATAGTATATACTGAAAAAAATAAAACTAGAAAGGCAAGTATGATGTAAATATATACTACATGAAATTTTCAAGGACGAAGACTACTTCTAACCACACCGTGGTGTCTCTGGTTTACCAGATAAGAACTATTATGAGCGGCTGAAGCTTACATCACCCCCCAAGTACAACAAGGCATTTGAGGGCTGAATCCCTGTAACAATTCAGACATGCTGAGAAGGAAGTTCAGGGCAGTCAGGTTTGGTGACTGTTCCATGGACAACGTCCTGGGCTCATCTTTGCGTCATTACCTACCCCTGGAACTGTGATTAACAACCGCTAAGCCTGGGACTTCGCGCCTCTTGATGAACTCTGCTTTAGAACAAAGCCATCATTCTAAGGAGCAGTTTAGTGTGCTGTAATGAACTGGAAGAAGGCAGAATGGCAGAATGTAAAGGCTGGGAGATATGGGCACTCTGCAGGAAAGCAGAGTCATTAAAAATAATGAGCAGTCTTCACTTCCTTCTTTTTATTAACTTTCTGCAAAGGACAACCCGACGCTTTATTTTTTAACACAGTCTCCACTTTTCCTAATATCCGTTAGCAGATGGCTAAACATTTTTTCCACAACATGTTCCATAATACGTGGGACTACGCTGCAAAACACTTAGGGTCTTTCCCCTTTTTGCTTAATACATCTTAAAACTGGTGTTTCTAATAACTGCCTCTAAGCTAAACAAGAACGTGTCATCCCTTCCGCCTCTGAAATATACAAAGGTAACATTTTAAGGGAGAGCTGAAACCACAGAGCAAGGGCAAACAAAAAGACTGTAAATGCCCATCCTAAAGTTCCATTCATTCCAAATTTCTCCCTCAAACTGGCCCTGCAGTACTAATTCGTGTCTAGGAATCTCTAGGAATGGTTTCAACACTTAATTGTTGGCACAGTTTTGCTTTCAGAATTCTGATAGGAAAAGAGAAGCCTGAACGAACCGGACGGTTGGAAAAAGGCCAGAATTTTAGTCTTGAAGAGATTTCTAGCATGAATTATGAACCTAGCTGTTCTGAGTTAGTACTTTGTTCCCTTGGAGAATGGCTGCCTTAGTGCCAAATCACAGAACCGAACTCATTTTTTTCCCCTTGTAGTTAATAACTTAAGCCAAGCTTCTGATCAAAGGGAAGGAGCACAACTGCTAAGACTTAGAGAAATTGTCAGCTTGACCAAAGTCTCTCTGACCTATGGATCCAAGTGACCCAAGTTCCTATTAATCAAAGGGTGGGAGAGGAAGTAGTACTGGAACACCTCTTACACATCAGGCACATGTCAAATACTTCATTTACACTGTTCCACATAATCCTCACAGTAACCCCAAGAAATTGGCATTTTTATCCATGAGTGATATTTAGAAAGTTAAGATTTATTAATTCATTCATTAAACAAATATATATTGTGCAATAAATATATTGTAGGCATGGTACCAGATGCTGAGGCTATAATGATAAGCTAGATAGATGCAGTGTCAGTTGCAGTGAAGTCTTACAATTTAGTGGGGATGATAGATATTGCATAAGTATTTATAAGCCTGATGAGCATTTTAGAAGGGGAAGCATAAAGTGCTGAACAGGTATTGAAAATGGAATTTTTCTCCATTCTTCAACACATGATTATTGGAAGCCCCAAGATACCACTAGCTTTGAAGTCTACTGCAAACTTTTGGCTTAGGAAACTAAACAGTGCTCTTATCAAGCAATAATCTTCCCTCTCCTGGATGTATCCTTGATTAATAATAGTGTCACTAATGGTGAAACATGAGTGGAAGATGCATGATTGTTAATATTACCACAAATGTGTTTGCTTGCTTAAGTAGAGCAAAGCTAAAATTCGACAAACAATTGGTATCTATGTTTAGATACCTAATAGAACTTTCTGTATTGATGGAAATGTTTTATATCTGTGCTATATATGGACCTTGGCTATTGAACATGTGAAAAGTTGATCCTTGGAACTAGGGGATGAAATTTTTTATTTGATTTGATTTTAATGAATTTTAATGTTAAAAGCTATATGTAGTTAGTAGCTACTATATTTGACAACATAGTTATAGATAATTTTCATGGGGCAGAAAGTGTCCGGAAACTTGCTCTCTCCATCATTGCATTTGGAGAGGTTTGGGTCTAAGTCAGTCGGAAGCCAAAAGGAATCAGTTTCTTTTGGAGTCATACTGAGACTCCTCTAATCTAGAGGAACCTTATATTTTTGGGATGGCTTCAAGAAAGATTTAGGCAGCAACAAGAAACCAACTTCAATCTAGACTGTAATAAGATGCAACTACAAACAGATCTGGAATAGTTCTTAAACCAAACTATCCTACCAGTGTTAGTCAGTTTGGAGATAATCCAGCATTGGCCCATTTCAGTTACCCATAAAGGAGGAGGATTCAAGTGCCCCCTAGGGTCAGAGCATGTCTGAAGGAAATATCACACACACACTCATACACATGAGCATATACACACACATGCCTTTGGGTGTTCGTGGATCAGACTTAGTGACCATACGTGTCTGAGACAGTTATTTTGCTAAGAGTTCTAATCAGGAAATGAAATAAAAGAGAGGTGATTTAAACCTAAAAAGAGATGAAACTGAAATTGCTTTAGATCCTTTTGCCGAAGCACCCAACTCATTATCTGAGCTTGTTTTAAATAAGCAAATGTTATCTATCAAGCAATACATAAAATTCGTCCTGCCAGATATTCAATTATTCAGTGATACAGTTTACTACACTGCCGCTTATTTGGGCTCCCATGTTTGGTGGGTCTCATGGCCTAAGAGACTTGCTGGGTTTTTTTGTTTGTTTTTCGCTTTTTGTTTTTTAAATAACACATAGTCAGATAGGTTGGTGCAAAAGTAATAGTGGACTTTGCCATTACTTTCAATGGCAAAAACCACAATTACTTTTGCATCAACCTAATACTTCCAATTTGCTCTTGGATGGCAATGACTTTTTTTCTTTGTGCTTTGGGTCTGCTGGCTGCTACCCCCTTAGCCAGCTACTTGACCTCACACACCAGCTATGAGTTGATCACAACATCTCTAACATAACTGTATCTTATTAGTCACTCAGACATTACTGGCAGCCTACCGCCTCCAGGGCTGCCGTAGGATGTAGCAGCCATATAAGGAAGCAGCAGGAATCAGTCACAATTATCCCTTGCTTTATTCTTAAGGAAAGAAAAGGAATCAGACCATTAAAAATATGATACCTGTATATTAGTAGGCTTGCTCGTTGCCAATTATCCTCTTGAAAACTGGTCTTATGCAAGCACTATTCATTTTCAGTGAAAAATGGGTTTGAGGCATGACTGATAACAGATCAGTTTATGAGATAGTATTAGATTCGTGCAAAAATAATTGTGCTTTTTGCCATTAAAAATAATGGCAAAACAGCAGTTACTTTTGCACCAACCTCATAGTAATAAAAGCTTCTTTTCTTTGGAAGCCAATAATGTACTAAACATACTTAGTATATACCTTCATTATTATATCCCATTTTTGTAAAAATTATTTCTATTTTTCAGGTGAAGAAACAACATCTATGAGCATTAACAACTTGTCGAAGGTCATATATGATACGTTTGGAAGTCACAAACTCATTTAACCCATGTAGCCTGAGCTGTTTCCCGTTTGCTGCACCATATTTTATGAGTAAGGTCCCTGAGAGGAGAAAGAGTTGTGAATGGGGTGGTGGAGGGGAGAAAGAATGCCAAGTTATCCAATTTCATTGGGTTAATAGAATTGATAACATGTCTGTTTTTCAATATAAGTCCCTTAACTTTGTCTAGCACAATCCTAGACACAAATAAGGTATTTGCTGAATGAAGTAAAAATATTAAAATCTGTTCCCAAAATATTCATTTGAAATATATTTTGGAGCCAGTATTATGTAAAAACATTGTATTTTGGCACTGGAATACAGGAAATAAACAAGAACGGAAAAGTTTCTCCCTTTGTGGACTTATATTCAGGTAGAGAAGACCAAAAAAAGCGCAGCAATGAATAAAATCATTCTGGATGGTGGTGAAGCATATGAAGAAAGTAGAACAGAGCAAGGTGGCTCGGGGCTCTGGAGTGACTGTGAAGGGGCTGGAGCACTAATTTAGACTGACTGATCAAGCAGTGCTTAACAGGGAGTTGGCCTTTAGTTAAGAGCTGAGTACCAACAGGAAAACATCAAGATGTATGAGGAGAGTATGCCAACAAGAGAAAACATCTCACTGAATGGACAGCAGGGAAGAGAAGAATCAAAGATGTTTCCTGGAGTTTGCTTTCAGCAACTGGTTAGAACATTAGTCATTTACTGAGAATGGAAGACTTGGAGGAAGCAGATTGTGTGGGAGGGAAATCAAGAGTTCTATTTAATTTTCAGAAGGCATTTCTATAATGCTTACTTTTACAACGCAGGCTCAAAATAAAGTGTCCTAATTCCAGTCATTTGAGATAAAGATTTTATACATTTAGTGAATACATCAAATGTTTTCATTTTGTATCAAAAACTCTAAGAAATACTTATAATTATTCTTTTAAAATTAGTTTTATTTTTTCAATCTTAATAAAAGAAAATGAAAATCTTTAGAAACATCATTTCTACTTTTTCAGACTTTCTAGAATATTAACTACTAAAATGTATTCCTGAACATATTTTTAAAAGAAATGTCATGCTCAGTCAAATTCAGATTGTATCTATTCAAAAAAGTCCATAAAACCTTACAACAAAATTCTTATTTTTTCAATGCTCCTATTTTCCTTGGACTTGAAGAAGATTGTGAATTAGTAAAATCTTCCATTTAAAAAAGCAATGATTTTGTAGTGAGTTCTGGAGGAAACAATGTCATAGTTAACATTGTTACAATGCAGCAAAGGTGGCCAGAAGAAAGACAATCCTCTGCCTTCTGTGGGGAAGGGAGTTAAATCTCAGCCCAGTGTTGGAAGAAAAAGCATTTCCTTAGCAGGCAAGTATGTAGGCCGTGGGAAGGGTGTTCTGGGCCAACGCAGGCACAAATGCATGAACTCATTTGAAAACATAATCTCCCACCTGACTGGAAAATTTAGCATTCTTCGGGTGTATGCACCTTAAAAGAAAATAAATTATTTGAAAGCCTTGGGATCTGATACATCTTGATGTTTTGTTGAGTTTTATCAAAGTGCCTTTACTCTCTCTGTTTTAGGATTACTTCAGAACATCAGAAATGATCATGGAATTTTAAATGTTGATTGACTTTCAAAGTCATTATTTGTTACCTTAAAACTATTTCAAAGAAATTATCTGAAAATCATAAACTTATTTTTCTATGTATTTGGAGAGAGATTCAATTATCTACATATTTGGAGAGATATTCATTTGTCAGAGTCTATATTTGTGTAGACGGATTAACTGGGCAATTGGCTGAAGTTTTTATTCTTTAATTAGACATTTTAGTATTATGCAGCACTATTCCCTATAAATATATTTTTTTAACATAAATGCCTTGTAATTGTAACTTTTCATGTTCTTAGAGGTCCTAGTAAGTGAAAAAGCACATTCTCATACAAACTGAATTTGAATATAAAGTATATCCTAACTAATTCCTTGACCTAGTGATTTATTCTCCGTAAGTTTCTAGGAATACTGATTTCATTTAAAGATACTTTTAAAATCTAAATACTTTAAAACGTGCAGCCTCTATAACTTGGCCAATTTCTGCTGACTAGTAATTATATATCTTTTAAAGAATTGTTAACGATGGTGCTCGAGATAAATTCTAATTTCCCTTCTCTACTAGATTTAGCTGATAGCCATTGTTTATAGAGTTTGATGATTTCTCCTCATTATCCTAATTGTGAAAGCAGTAGAGTATGCAAATTACCAGAAAAATTTCCTACTGATAAACTATGCAAATGAAACATCAAGTGAGTGGATATATTCTTTTGTGTCATTAATCAGTTGATTAAACTCTCCTAAAATGCAAGCTGGTATGACTGAGCCCGCCTTTCAAGACTCCAAAGAATATTTATATAGCCAAGCCAAGACAGCAAATGCATATTCTCTGCACATAGTTTTTAAAAGCCTGAAGGCTTTCAGTTATCCATGTAAGGACCCAAGATTACAGCTGATCTATATTATATCTATATTATTCTGTACTTTCTATAATATCATTTGAATTCCAAAGCAGAACCTGGGAAGAGAGGGGTGTTGAACTGCTCAGTATGCAAAGCAATAATAAATGAGTTTTCCAGACCACAGTTCTAAGGAGGAAAACCTGTTGGAAAAGAAAAGAGTCAGGGATTTCAAGTATTTGTTTGCTTTCTTTTTTAACTTGGCTTTTCTACGCTTCTTTTCCTAAGTTGCCATTTGCACATACAAATCACTTCAGTTTATTTTTAAAACCCACACAGGCAGACATTGTTTTGTTGTGGTTACATCCTATTCAGTAGAGGCCCCAAACCTCCTATTGTGAGAGGAAATGAAGGCTGGTGGGATCTTTAAGGGGCCTCTCAGGACAGGTGGTTCCTTTCATTTCATGCCTGTAATTGCTGTGATTCAACCCAAGCTTATTGCCAAAGGTCCCTCACTATCCATCTCAAAATACATTAAAGAAGGTTGGTCTCACAAATGGAGCCAAGTTTGAATTTTTATTGACAAGAAACAGGACAAAATAACTTTCCCCTTTTGTCCGAAGCTCTTTCAGCGGCATCAATATGCTGCCTCACTGAAGTAGTCCTACAACCAGGAAAGCCAAGGCACTTTATGAAACTCAACAAGATGTCAAGATGGATTAGATCCCAAGGTTTCCAAATAAATTTTTTCAGGTTCATATACCTGGAGAATGTTACATTTTCCAGCCATGTGGCAGATTCTAGTCTCAAACAATTCTGTGCATTTGTGCTTGTGATGGCCCAGAATGTCCTTCCCACAGCCCCAATGCTTGCCTGCTAAGGAAACACATATGCTTCTAAGACTGGGCTAAAAGTCTCCTCAGCTTTGACTCCCTTCTCCCAAAGGATAGAAGATTGTCCTTCTTCTTGCCACCTGTGTAGCTATTATTACATTATAGTGTTACTGTTGAACAAGCCTGGCCTCCAGATGAAATTAGACTGTGAGCTCCATGAAGATGGAGACATTCTTGTCATGTTTGCATCCCTGTACACAAAATACAGTGGAGCTGAAGATGTACTGAAGGAGCTGAAGAAACATGGTCTGATCATGTGTCCAAATTAGGATTCAGAAAACTGGATCACTCTAATGCTAGTTCAAAGCTCTTCCTCTGATGATACATTTTCTGCCACTGAATGTTACCAAGTACAAACTAGAAGACCCTAAAACGGGGATTTAACCATATCAAAACTGGAGGTGTTTATCAGAAACAGAAGATAAAACTAATACCTAAAAAAAAGTGATCTGAGAAAGAGGGAATAATATTATCAGACAAAAGATAGAAACATTAAAATTTTAAAATAAGCTTGCTATCAGTCCTACACTGTCATTTTCAGAATATTTTTCAAGGCTAACAGATTTCCCACCTTCCTTCATTCATTTCTGAGCAGTAGGTCTGCAACTTCCCTAGAAAATGATTAAATTTGTGGGTTATGTGGGAGAAGTCAGTCTATTCTTCTTTGAAGTAGTGTGGCTTAATAACCGGTATGAGATATTGCTACCCTTGCACTCTGGTCTCTCTAAGGCCTAGAGTTAGGTATAATCTTAAAAATTTGACAACTGGAAATCAAAATTTACTATAGAAATCAATTGACAAATAATTTTTAAAAGTACTTCCTTTTATTCTCCAATAAACTAAGATATAGATAACATAGAACTGTTTAGCAGGTGATATGTTGTAATGCCAGTAGTTCATAAAATCATTCTAATGAATTTCAAACTATTTGTTGAATTTTGGGAATTATTAGTGTCCTCTCTTTTTGATGCTATTGTCATTAGTTTAAAAGAGGCCCCTATCTGAACATGATAAGACATAGGAAACCTGACTTTTTCCCAGTGGATTAATAGTCATTAGGTTCATGCTAGTAGTCATGCATCACAAAATGACTTTTCCGTCAATGATGGACTACATATGGGACAGTGGTCCCATAAAATTAGTTCAACCATTGTGGAAAACAGTGTGGTGATTCCTCAAAGACCTAAAAACAGAACTGCCATTCACCCCAACATCTCATTACTGGGCATACACCCAAAGGAATTCAAATTGTTCTACCATAAAGATATATTCATGTGTATGTTCATTGCAGCATTATTCATAACAGCAAAGACATGGAATCCACCTAAATGCCCATCAGTGGTAGACTGGATAAGGAAAATGTGATAGATATATACGATGGAATACTATGCAGCCATAAAAAAAGACCAAGATCATGTCCTTTATAGGAACACGGATGGAGCTGCAGGCCATTATCCTTAGCAAACTAACACAAGAACAGAAAGCCAAATACCGCATGTTCTCACTTATAAGTGGGAGATAAATGATGAGAACACATGGACATGTAGAGGGAAACAACACACAATGGGGCCTATCAGAGCATGGAGGGAGAGGATCAGGAAAAATAACTAATGGGTACTCAGCTTAATACCTGGGTAATTAAATAGTCTGTTCAACAAACCCCGTGACACAAGCTTATCTATATAACAAACTGCACTGTACCCCTGAACTTAAAATAAGCTAAAAAGACTATAATAGCTTATTGTTACTGGTACTTTTTCTATGTTTAGGTATGTTTAGATACACAGGTACTTACCATTGTGTTAACAATTGCCTGTAGTGTTCAGTACAGTAACATGCTGTATAGGTTTATAGCCTAGGAGCACCAGGCTAGACCATACAGCCTAGGTGTGCAGTACGCTACACAATATAGGTTTATGTAAGGACATTCTATGATGTTTGCACAATGATGAAATCATCTAATAATGCATTTTTTAGGATGTATCCCTGTTATTAGGTGACACGTGGCTATATTTTGTTGTTGTCAGCGAGACACAGGGCATGCTGAGTGTAGATCCAGACAGCTTACTCCTTGACCCCATCAGCATTACTAGTGTTTGTTTGTTTGTTTGTTTGTTTGTTTGTTTTTTGAGACAGAGTCTCGCTCTGTCTCCCAGGCTGGAGTGCAGTGGCGCAATCTTGGCTCACTGCAACCTCCACCTCCCAGATTCAAGTGATTATCCTGCCTCAGCCTCCTGAGTAGCTGGGATTACAGGCGCCTGCCACCACGTCTGGCTATTTTTTGTATTTTTAGTAGAGATGGGGTTTCACCATGTTGACCAGGTTGGTCTCAAACTCCTGACCTCAGGTGATCTGCCTGCCTCGGCCTCCCAAAGTGCTGGGATTACAGGTATGAGCCACCGTGCCCGGCCAGCATTACTGTTATTACTACCATCCACTCTGTCACATGCCTATCAATCATGAGCACCTCTGGATCTAGAGATGAGCACTGCAGATACCTATGCCACTTCCTCTCTCAGACAAGTCTGCAGCTTCCAAAGGCCCCCCTCACCAGCAGGCAAAACTACCAGGGCTCATGATGCATTTCATTAGGTGACAAGTGGGCTCAATATCTTAAACCATTTACCATCTGGTACAGAAGCTCTACATTTCAGTATTTTGAATGAGTGATATGTTTGTAGCAGTGGTGCTTACAAACTGAATATCAATCCTAACTAGAATGCTGTGGTCCTTATAGATAAAGAATGAAAGTCAATTTCTCTTCAATCAGCCAAATAATCATCTAGAGCCTCTATCATAATTTCTAGAAACTTGGCTTTGACACTTAGGAACATGAAGTCAGAGAGAGAAATAGAAAAGTATTCATACTGTCCAATTTTCATGAATTATTTTAAACATGAGCACTTAGTACAAATCAAGCACTGGCTATATTTTATCTCATTCCATCCTTATATCAACTCTGTGTTGAGATGTTATCATCAGGTTATAGGTGTGAAAAATGAAGCACAGAGAAATTAAGTAAACTGCCCAAAGTCTAGCACTTGAAGTAGTGAAGACAGAATTCAAATCCTCACCATGTGTCTTCAGAATCTATTCTTTCAATCACCATGCTATCTGTTTTCCTAATAAGTCAATGGTTGATGTATTTTCTCTAAATGACCAGCCTGGGGTAGTGAAATAACTGCTAATTTGGTTTGAATTCTGGTTTCTTTACTTATTAGCTGAACTTTCAGCAAAATTATTTTACCACTGTAACCCTTCTTTTTTTTTTTTTACCTCTAAATTGAAAAGAGTATAACCTTCCTTGATATAGTTATGAGAGTTAAATAGTACAATAAATATAAAATTATTACTATTGTACTTGGAACATAATAATCCTTTGATGAATATCAATTTTGCACTGTAAAATACCTGTCATTAGCATTATGAGGGCAACGACCACACCGAGTTTATCCTCATAAGTGAAGTGATAGTGTTATTAGCTCTCTACTATATACATAACCCTCATCATGTGGCAGGTGCTGTTCTAACTCTTTTACTTACATGAATTCATTCAATTCTCTGAACCACCTTCAATATACATTAGATTAGTGTTATTGCTATTCCTGTTTTGCAGGTGAAGAAACAAGGGCAAGAAAATCAGGTAACTTGCTCAAGGTCATTCGGAAACACACAGGCGGTGGAACCTGGATTTTAACCCAGGCACTCTGGCTCCAGAGTTTGTGATCTCAACCACTGTTCACTCTTAACATACTAAAGTTTCAATAAATATTTGTAGAAAGAATGTGTAATTCCTGAAATTCCACAATTATTATTCTTTTTGTTACCCTTAAGCTCTCTGATCCCTAAGAAATATGAACCCTAATGGTAGACCACTATAATTTCTTCACTTGAACTTTTATGAATTTGTTTATTGGTCCTACAAGGTTAATAGGTTTTGATAAAAGAGAAAAAATTATAAACAACAACAAAAATTGGTTAGAGAAAAGATTCACTTAAGGAGCTATGCTAAGCTGGGTGTGGTGGCTCATACCTGTAACCCAGCAATTCGGGAGGCTTGAGAGGCTGAAGCGGGAGGATTGCTTGAGTCCAGGATTTCAAGACCAGCCTGGGAGACATAGTGAGATCCCATCTTTACAAAATACTTAAAAATTAGGTGGTCATGGTGGCTCATTCCTGTAGTCTCAGCTACTCGGGAGGCTGAGGTGAGAGGACTGCCTGAGCTAGGATGTCAAGGCTGCAGTGAGCTGAGATTGTACCACTGCACTACAGCCTGGGCAACAGAGTGAGGCCCTGTTTCAGAAGCAGAAGAAGAAAGAAAGAGAAAGTGAAGGGGAAGGAGGAGGAGGTGGGGGAGGGAGATGGAGAGAGAGAGGGAGAGGGAGAAAAAGGAGAGAGAGAAGAAAGAGAAGAAGAAGAAGGAGAAGGAGAAGGAGAAGAAGCTATGCTAAACATGAGACTCCAAATTAAGTTTCCAATTTTATCAGCCCCTGAAAATCTAATACTTACTATTAGGGCTGAGATATAATCATCTTAATTTAAAAAATCATTTTTTCTAGGATTGGAAGAAAAGGTCACAATGATATTTCTTTCTAGAACATTTATAAAGGTTTTCAACTAATGGATAAAATAAAATTCAGAGCAAAATAATTCAATTGCAATTTATCTTTTGGTTTGGATTGCCTCAAAAATGCATAAAACAACAATAGTTTAAAAAAAACCTTATGTGCAACTCAGAAAAAGATAATTCTCTTTGATAAAAAAAATTTTTGAATACTTTATTTAGGTTGCCTTTCAATCTACTCTCAGTTTAGAATTTGTTTGTATATCATCATTTAAGTAGGTCTTCTGAAAACTGTTAGAGATACAAATACTAATAATTTGTATCTTAATAATAAAAGCATATTGTTTATTCTATTATAGATTTTGAGGGTTCATAGAAAAGTATAAGTCTAAAACAAACTTCTAAATACGTTAGATGATTTTTAAGAGATATAACTTTCCTAGTTAGGTTTATTTTTTGACCTTTATTGATGCCACCATGAAATAATCCCCTGCAATAAGTTTGCCACTATGTTTTCTCACATTTACTGTGTTGGGAAACCATGAACCTGACAAATGGGAAACAGGTTTAACTATATCATCCTCTCCAGTGGTAAGAATTCCTTTCAGACTTGAGAAATGGCCTAACTGGCCAAAATCACATAACTAAGAATTTCTGAAGCTAGTTAGCTATTGTACCAAAGGTCACCTCAATCCGATGCTTGTGATATTAACCACTACACATGCAACCAAGTATCAGACTATCCAAAAGGTATTTTGTGGAAAAGGGAAGGACTTGAAGACTATCAAGCCTTGACATACTAATCCCTTGGAGGCAGGCACACATCAGTTTTGATGCTAAAATTCTTCAGGGCATAGTATGAAGTGCTCATTCTTTAGTTCTAATCTTGCAATCTTGATTGAAGGATAACCACTATGGACTTGTTTGAGAGTTAACAATTAGAAACCAACTGATATGGTTTGGCTGTATCCCCACCCAAATCTTGAATTGTAGCTCCCATAATTCCCACATGTCGTGGGAGGGACCTGGTGGGAGGTAACTGGATCATGAGGGCAGGTCTTTCCCATGCTTTCTTGTGATGGTGAATAAGTCTCATGAGATCTGATGGCTTTATAAAGGGGAGTTTCCCTGCACATGCTCTCTCTCTTGCCTGCCACCAGGTAAGATGTGACTTTGCTCCTCCTTTGCCTTCTCCCATGATTGTGAGGACTCCCAAGGCACATGGAATTGTGAGCCCATTAAACCTATTTTTCTTTATAAATTACCCAGTCTCTGGTATGTCTTTATTGGTAGTGTGAGAACAGACGAATACACCAGGATACGACCAATGTTAAGCTTAAACATTCTCAAGTGGGAAATTCAGAAGTCATTTAGGAAGACAATAAACTATATATTGGTAAGATTACAAACTCTGGAGTCAGGCAGCCTGGGATGAGTCCTGCCTCTGTTTTTATTTAACTCCTTCTTAAATTTCCTTCTCATTAAAAGACTGTTGTAAAAATTAAATTCAGTAATGTAAAGTGTTTAGTGCAGTGCCTAGCAAAAAATAATCTCCTCTCCAAATCTCCCATTTTTCAGCTGTTTGACATTGGGCAATTAACTTACTTCTATGTGCCTTAATTTTAATTATTATATAAAAACAGGAAAAATAATACAAATTTTGAGGAGTTGTTAACAGAATTAGAAAAACTCATGTAAAATTTCTGACATTTAGAATTAATTAATGGTAATTGTGATTAATATTAAGTAAATCTCAATTCTGTAACATATTATTAAATTAAACTAAATTTGGCTTAAGGTTGCCCTCTGTACCTTCAACCCCTTTCTAATGAACTACAACCTATGTTAGTAGGTAGACAAACTAAAAGCCTAATTTAGTAGTACAGTATATTTTTGGTAACTTCTTTATCTCAGCCAACGACAGCAGCTGAGTGTCAGCCAATCATAGGCTGGTAAGTGATCAGATCATGCCCCAATAAGGCAAATGCAGAACCGTAACCAATGAAGCTGATTCTGTACCTGCTTTGCGATTTCTGTCTATAAATGCAGCCTGCCTACATTGCTGAGTGGTGATCTCTGAACCTCTTCTGGTTCCTGTAAAAGTATTTTCAAATTTTCACATTTTAGAAGAGGCAAACACCCTTCTTCTGCGTTCTGAGCTAGGCAAGCAGAACCCTTAATTATTTGAAAACCAATTTTTATATTTCTGTATTCTGGATGTTCCTTTTGACCCTTTCAAATTCTTTTTCTTGTTTTTTGTCCCTTTGATCTTTGGTCAATAGTACAATGATTTGCATCTTTGTCCCAGTAAAGGAGGATTTCTTGAAGTCCCTCTTGTCTTCTGTTGGTTTTCCTTTTACTAAATACAATGCCATCTGTCAATAAACACCATCTAAGCATGAGAAACTATTTTTAAAAGCTTGCTATTCTATTGTAGATTACAGAAAAAATATTTAAAAATTGACAAAGGTAAAAGCCTACATATGTTCCCCCCAAATTTAAGCAAACAAAAAATGTAGGCTGCTCTCTATAACTTCATGTTCTACATTCATGGATTCAGCCAACTGAGGACCTAAAATATTTGGGAAAAAAACCATAAAAATAACAACAATCAAATACACATAAACAATACAATGAACAACTATATATATAGCATTTATATTATACAAAGTATTATAAGTAATCTACAGATGATTTAAAGTATATGGAAGGATGTGCATAAGTTATATGCAAATATAACACCATTTTATATCAGAATTTGAATTTCATATAAGAATTTTGGTGTCCTCTTGGGTGGGGAATAAATTTCCCACAGATGCTGCATGATGACTGTAGATGCAAACAGCAAGCTGGTATGGTTTCATATTCAATCCCAAAGTCATCATAAGATGACCACAGCAGATCCTTTCTGTTTATCCCACAAGAGTGTTTCCTATGCGAAAAAGTTCTTACATCCACTTGGGTTGCGGATTTTTTGATTGGTTTGATTTGCATGCTCATCCATGAACCTGTGCTAGAAGAGGATGGACCTTGCTCATTGGTTTAGGCCTAGGTTACAACTCCATTTCTTAGCTACACAATGGGACCCATCAAACCACCTGGTCAGAGAATACGAAAGAGTTGGATCCCTAAACTAACATCAGGGGTGATGGACAGAATGAGGAATAAGGACCTCAGGATAGTCAACAATCAATGTTTGTCACTAAACATTCATACTACTTCACAAAATTAGTTCAAGCTTCTCTCCATGACTAGCTGGCACAGTTACCATCACAGCCTGTATCAGTCCATTCTCAAGCTGCTAATAAAGACATACCTGACACTGGGTAATTTATAAAGAAAAAAGAGGTTTAATGGACTCACAGTTCCACATGGCTGGGGAGGTTTCACAATCATGGCAGAAGCTGAAGGAGAAGCAAAGGCACGTCTTGGCCGGATGCGGTGGCTCACGCCTGTAATCCCAGCACTTTGGGAGGCCGAGGCGGGTGGATCACGAGGTCAGGAGATCGAGACCATCCTGGCTGACATGGTGAAACACCGTCTCTACTAAAAATACAAAAAAAATTAGGCTGGGCTTGGTGGCGGGCGCCTGTAGTCCCAGCTACTCGGGAGGCTGACGCAGGAGAATAGTGTGAACCCAGGAGGTGGAGTTTGCAGTGAGCCAAGATCGTGCCATGGTACTCCAGCCTGGGCAACAGAATGAGACTCCATCTCAAGAAAAAAAAAGGTACGTCTTACATGGTGGCAGGCAAGAGGCTTGTGCAGGGGAACTGCCCTTTATAAAACCATCAGAGCTCATGAGACTTATTCACTATCACAAGAACAGCACAGGAAAGACCTGCCCCCATGATTCAATTACCTCCCACTGGGTCTCTCCCATGACATGTGGGGATCATGGGAGCTAAAATTCAAGAAAAGATTTGGGTGGGGACACAGCCAAAGCATATCACAGCCCCTGATAGGCAATAGACATCCAAGCAGTGCACCTACAGGCTTTGTTCTCAACGTAGCAGGCAAAGTGATCTTGTAAGTAGGCTTTGTCAATCTTAGTGTCCTTCTAGCTCATGCTAAGTAATAACCAAATGTATGACAGTGACCAAAGGGCCCTTCAGAGCTTGGTCTCCCCATTACCTCTCTGTCCTTATCACCTACTACCTCTTTATCACAATCTCTGCTCCAACCATGCTGGCCTCCCCATGGATCCTCCACAGCTGTGTGTGTCCCTCTGCCTGAAGCACTCCCTCCTCAGACAGGCATTAGTTCCCTCAGGTCATTTCCTGAAGTACTTCCCTTCTCTTCCCTCAGGAAATTACTTAAATTCACCTCAGGCAATCCTTCCCTGTCTCACTTGTATCCACCCCCTTCCCAAGATATCCTATTCCTTCTTCTCTGTTTGATTTTTTTCATAGCATTTATCATCATCTAAAATACCTACATTAATTTTTTTTCTCTTTTTTCTCATCACTAGAATATAAGTGATATGAAGTCAGAGGTTTTGGATTGTTTTTCTTCATGACTGTATCCCCAGAACTGTAACAGTGGGTGCTCAATAAATAACATGAAAAGAATGAATGATAGGGCCAGTGGAGTGGAGGCTGTAATCCCACTACTTTGGGAGGCTGAGGCAGGCAGATTGCTTGAGGCCAGGAATTTGAGAGCAGCCTGGGTAACACAGTGAAACCCCATCTCTATCAAAAAATACAAAAATTAGCTGGGCGTTATGGCACACACCTGTAGTCCCAGCTACTCAAGAGGCCGAAATGGGAAGATAGTTTGAGCCCAGGAGGTCGAGACTGCAATGAGCCGAGATGGTGCCACTGCACTCCAGCCTGGGCAACAGAGCTAGACCCTGTCTCAAAAGAAAGAAAAGAAATGAAAAGAAAAGAAAATAGAGAAAAGGAAAGGAAAGGAAAAAAGAAAGAGAAAGAAAGAAAGAAGAAAGAAAAAGAAAGAAGGAAAGAAAGAAGAAAGAGAAGGAAGGAAAGAAAGAGGAAAGAGAAAGAAAGAAGGAAAGAAGAAGAAAAGGAAAGAAAGAAGGAAAGAAAGAAAGAAAGGAAAGAAAGAAAGAAAAAAGAAAGAAGAGGAAGAAAGAAGGAAAGAAAGAGAAAGAGAGAAGAAGAGGAAGACAGAGAGAGAAGAAGGGAATGAGGAATAAGGGAAGGGAAGGGAATGAGGAATAATGGGAGGGGAGGGGAGGGGAGGAAGAAGGGAGGCAGGGAGGGAGGAAGGAAGGAAGGAAGGAAGGAAGGAAGGAAGGAAGGAAGGAAGGAAGGACGGACGGACAGACCACTTCTCTTATCCATCCTCCAGGCCTTAGGTGGGCAAGTCTCCCTAGTCCTCCATACTCCAGGAAAGGTGACATGCACCTGCTCTATATTCCGGTAGCTCTTTCTCCATCACTCTGGGCTTCATCACGTAGGTGCTATTAACCTCACTCTTATTTCCCCAATGCCCAGCACAGAGGATACACTCAGTAAAAAAGTAAATAAAGTTGAGTGAATAATGAATGTCTACAGTATGGCATTAACAGTGAATTCTCAGAAAGATTTCAGGAAATCTTACGTTGTATCAAATTGTCAGTTATCCCAGAGAAAAATAGGTTAACATAAAATGAAACTTTTTATGTCAGTTTTGCGGGGCTACTATATCATCCCACTCATGAGAAGTTAACTGTATACCCTGATGATCCCCTGTCCTAAACCAAACCATATCCTCAAACTTTCTTCAGTCATTTGAGTTTTCTATTTTCCTTTCAATGCCCATGACCCAACACACTCACACACCCTACCTGACACAGTTTGTCATCGAATGCAGCATATTAAAGTAATATATTCATTCACATGAGCATACAGGCATGAATTATGAGACTTCTGAGACTGTTCTGCTCACAAAGTTTTCTATGGGGTGGAATAAGAGGCAGAAGTTTGAGCTAACCCAGGAGTGGGTGGGAGGGAGGAGCCCAGAGGTGATGCAGCTCCTGGGGCCCCACTCTGGCCCCAGCACACCTGGCTGTTCTGCCAGTGTGACTCACTATGAAGCCCCCTCAGAAGACTTGGCTGACATTACTTCCTTCCCCAGTCAGACTTGGCTCCACAACTGGAACAGGCCACAGCTTGCGAAAGAGCCCATGAGTCAATTCAACAGAGATGAGCTGGGGAAGAGAGAGGAAATAAGGTAAGAAGTAAAACCTTCTGTTAAAACATTCCTCATAAACGTCATCCCTTATACTCATCCGTTAGCTTATATGGAAGTCTTGTGAATGGTTTGAAATTCTAAAAATGGTTTTCTGTTCTAGCTACTCTTCTATACCCAATGTATGATCCAGAATAATTTTAAAATTCTAACAATTATGAATCTAAAGATGTTAGAATAACAAAACTTCCAATAAAGGGAGTTCAAAATAATCTGAAACGATTGGTCTTATCTGCCAAAACTATTATATATGAGTGGTTTGAATATATTTTGTTTGATTGATATTTGACTTAAGTTTTTAATGGGAAAAAATATATTTATAAATGTCAAATGAATTGGGACAAAGGCCAGACACAAATGGAATTAAACTGAGGAACAAGTAGGTAGTGCAGGACAGCAGACTCCAATACTGAATTTTAGGCCTTTTAGGTAATACTGATTTTAAAAAATTCCAATACTACCATACATCAAGTATTGTGAAACTCCCTGATTTTCACAGATATTAGTAATAATACAACTAATAGTGAGTACGTACTATACACCAAGCCAGATATTCTATGTTGTTGTAGATAACTCATTGAATCCTCATGACAACTCTATCATGTAGACATTATCATTATTCCCATTTATACAGCTGAGCAGACTGAGACATAGAGAATTTAAAAGGCTGTCGGTAGTCATGCAGTTAACAACCTGCAGAACCAGGATTTAAACTCATGGTGCCTGGCTCCACATCATTAGCCATCAACTGTAATTCTTCTCGGTGACTAAAAGTCATTCTTAGCAATCACTGAGTTCTTCTAGCCTGCAGACTAAGTCATTCTTGGATTGATAGTAGAGGATACTGCTTAAACACTCAAGGTATATCCTCCACTTGCTGGAAGGAGCTGAAACCCAATAGATTTCTGCCAACTGGAAGTTATGTTGGACCAACTATGTTTTCTTCCCCAATTCCCATTCTCTATTAACTTTTCACCTTTAAGTGGTTCTTGGTCTTGGCTCTTACTCATACTACTTACTGTAACTTTTATTCTATTTGGCCCTGGATTCTCCTGTCATCTCAGAAAAATGACTTTGCTTCACACTTCCAACATGGCTTACCTCTCAGAATAGGTTAAGGATTTGCTTTCGTGGTAGAAACCTACGATTGACCCTGATTTTTATTTCACTCTGTTCTGCAACTGGAATACGACAATTGCTAATATTTACATTGATTCTGGAAGACTAGAGTCAATTTAAATATTGACAATTCCATAAACCAGTACACTATATACAACAGTGTATAATGTCTTGAAAACACATTTTTAAACTTTTATTTTAGGTTCAAGGGGTATATGTCCAGGTTTGTTATACAGGTAAATTACATGTTAGGGGAATTTGGTGTACAGATTATTTCATTACCCAGGTAATAAGCATAGTACCTGATAGGCAGTTTTGCTTTTTTTACTCTTTTTTTTTTTTGAGACCACTCTGTCACTCAGGCTGTACAGTGGTGTGATCTCAGCTCACTGCAACCTCCACCCCTGGGTTCAAACGAGTCTCCCGCCTCAGCCTCCCGAGTAGCTGGGATTACAGGCATGCACCACCGTGCCTGGCTAATTTTTGTATTTTTAGTAGAGATGGGGTTTCACTGTGTTGGCCAGGTTAGTGGGGAACTCCTGACCTCAGGTGATCTGCCCACCTTGGCCTCCCAAAGTGCTGGGATTATAGGCGTGAGCCACCGCGCCCAGCCCTCGATAAGTAGTTTTTTGATTATTGCCCTCCTCCCACCCTCCGCCTTCAAGTAGGTCCCAGTCTATTGTTCCTTTCTTCGTGTCCATGTATACTCAATGTTTAGCTCTCGCTTATAAGTGAGAATATGTGGTATTTGGTTTCTTGTTCCCGCATTAGTTCACTTAGGATAATACCTCCAGCAACACCAATATTGCTGAAAAGGACATAACCTCATTCCTGTTTTGTGGCTGCATACTATTCCTTGGTATATATGTACCACGTTTTCTTTATCCAGTGTACCATTGATGGGCATTAGGTTGATTCCATGTAATTGCTATTGTAAACAGTGCTGCAGTGAATATATGTGTGCATGTGCCTTTATGGTAGAACAATTTATATTCCTTTGGGTATACACTCAATAATGGGATTTCTGGGTCTAATGGTAGTTCTGTTTTAGTGCTTTGAGAAATCATCAAACTGCTTTTCACAGTGGCTGAACTAATTTACATTCTCACCAGTAGTGTATAAGCATTCCGGGCCAGGCGCGGTGGTTCACAGCTGTGATCCCAGCACTTTGCAGGGCTGAGGCGAGTGGATCACCTGAGGTCAGGAGTTCAAGACCAGTCTGGCCAACATGGAGAAACCCCGTTTCTACTAAAAATACAAAAATTAGCCAGGTGTGGTGGCACACGCCTGTAATCCCAGCTACACAGGGGGCTGAGGCAGGAGAATTGCTTGAACCGGGGAGGCAGAGATTGCAGTGAGCTGAGATCGTGCCGCTGCACTCCATTCTGGGGACAGAGCAAGACTATGTCTAAATAAGTAAATAAAAATAAGCATTCCCTTTTCTCCCCAACCTCATCAGCATCTGTTTTTCTAATAACAGTCATTCTGACTGGTGTCAGATAATATTTCATTGTGGTTTTCATTTGCATTTCTCCAGTGATTAGTGTTGTTGAGCACTTTTTCATATGCTTATTGGCCACATATGTCTTCTTTTGAAAAGTGTCTACTCATGTCCTTTGCCCACTTTTTAATGGGATTGTTTGTTTTTTGTTGAAGACACATTTTTCCCCCCATGGGCCATGACCAAGATTGCTTACCTTTAAGAACATTCCAAGTAAAAAGACCTTATAACATCTCAAAATGACTGCATGCATCCTTAGGCTCTTCTCAAATCTTCTGTAAAAGTTACAATTCTGCACCAGATATTTGCAACACACAACTTGGCATGCTACTCTTGGCTTTTTAAGCTTAGTTGACTTGTAAGCTAGAGACTTACTCAGATGCTGCTACCATACATCATCCTAAAGCAGCAGAGAATGTTAGAGAAGATTAGGTAGCCATCGCTGCAAGCCTTCTTTATATCCTGGCTCCAATTTCATGAGCAGCAGCACCATGAGCTACCAAATGGGGAGGGGATATCCCACTCATTGGTTTCTATCTAGGCCTATCTGAAAACTTAAAAGAAAAATAATTTGCTTTTGAAATTAATTCTACAATATTTATTAAGGATAAATTATGCACCAGGTAGTGTGGTGGGCTGTGAAGATTAAAATAACAATAATAATAATAATGGTGAATTTTTTTACCTCTTTTCATGCTAAGATCTATGCTAAGCACTAAAAATGTAATTCATCCCTTCAACAACATTATGAGATGAAGCCTGTTATTATCCCCATTATATAGATGAGAAAACTGAGGCACAGTAAAGTGATTTTTCTGAGATCAGATAGCTAATATAGAGAGGAGCTGGATCCTAATTCTGACTTTAGTCTGAATCCAGAGTTCTCACTTTAAACCATTCCATGCCCACATGTATTTATAGAATACATCAGATGTGCAAATAAATAATTTTAGTACTGTTTGTGTTTATTCTTCATCCACACATCTTTTAAGTCCCTCTTTGGTAGATACTCTTCAGCTCCATCAGTGTGGTTGGGTTTTGAGGGTTCTGCTATACACTGTGCAGAGTTCAGCCAAGCTCATGTGCCGCTCCATACCAAACAGTATTAGAGGCATTCCTGCTAGGTCGTTACAAAGCAGCAAACTATTAGAAACATCTTGTCCATGACCATGGTACATAAACATTTTATTATAACTTTTGATGTCTAGAAGCACAAAGTGAAAGAAACCATGGCTGTTATTTGTTGATTTACCACTGCAGATGCCGAAAGGGAGAGTCACCTGCTAGTTCCTCTCCCATTGGTGTTTCACCACAGAGTGTCATCTTGATGGTTTTAAGTTTCCCTGAGACAGATGACTACTGACTGCCAGGAAATACTGTCCTTCAGTGATAATGCTTTTATTCCTTTCAGTTCTTGGAGCTGTTGGTGAGAGAAATAAAGCCTAGATCATGGCCAGATAATGAAGAGCCTCATAGGCCATGCTAAAATGTCTAGACTTTTAAATTTTACGTTACTTGTTCCAAATGCTCCAAGCCCTAACATGGTTTCTTCCCAAGGTCTACTTGCGCTAACTTTTAACAAAGGCTCTCTACTTCCAAAGGAGAGAAGTGGGCTCCTCTGAGTCCCCTTTTGTTTTTCACTAGGCCTGACCTTGGGCTCTGATCTTGGACTATTAAGTCTAGTTTCAGCAAGAATCCTTCCATGCTGGTTTAGTGAAAATCTGCCATCTTGGTCTCTGATCAAATTCCTCTCCCTACTCTTGATATCTTATGGCCCTAGCCTGAAGGCCCTAGCCTTTAGCACAAACCCTTCAGGTCTACTTAGCCAGAAGCCACCTGGCCTTGTTGTTTCCTGTTAGTAATTTTCCACTCCCTGACTCCCATCCTGCTCCTTGGCTATAAGTCTCCACTTGTCCTTGGCATACTTGCAGTTGGACCTGTTATTTGCCCCAACTGCAAAACTCCCCTTGCAGTATTCCCTCTTGAATAAAGTCTTTGTTGAGGTTCAGAAAACAATACCCTAAAATGAAGGCCTCAGAAGCAAAAGTTTTTCTCTGACCTTCTCCTATCCTCCTGTCTCTCAGTCCCCCTCTCCCCGAAGGCCAGCCATAGAAACTAGAATCCCTCTTCCCCAGGGTGAGTTATGGAAGCCAGCATGCCTTTTCCCCAAAGCCACTAATACAACCTTAAAATAGTACTTTAATTTTCCCTCTGCCTTTCTGTGTAAAGACTGGCCATAAAGAAATGATCTGACCCATGCTGTTTTTACTGTAGGTCATAAGACCCTCATTTCAGAAAGTGTCCTGCCCCAAGCCCAGAGGAAGGAATGCTGCTCAGAGAGGCCAAGAAAAACCTAGACAGACAGGCCTTGCTGGGATTCCCATTCAGTCTGTTAGCATTCGATCATACCCTTTCCTCCAGTCGTATTTCTACATGGCTGTCCATATTTTGTTGAACCTAAACATAAAAATAGAAAATTCTCCCTGTATCTTTGGGTCTTCATTCTGAAGGCTGTTGTGTATACACATTGAATAAATATGTGTGCCTTTTCTTGAATTAATCTGCCTTTGACTAGTTGATTTTTCAGTGAATCTTCAGGGGACCCTTGGCACCTACATCTTCTTTACCACCTTTAATAATTGTTATGAATATTTTCTCTTCAGCACTTTTAATGCCTTTCTTCTGTGTCATTAAAAATATATTTTGGAATCAGCTCCATTTATAAGATTTTGGATGAATCACAACAGATAAGCTGTGTGTTTTCTCAGAAATTTAAACTTTATACCATTACTTTTTCAAGTGTTTATGAAAACCAAAAGAAATCGATTTTTTAAAATATTGAATTAAACCAGAAAAAGCTGCTTAGAACATTTTATGAATATGTGAAAGGAAAATAGATCTTGGGGCCCCCAAATCACTAAGCTAAAGGGAAAAGTCAAACTGGGAACTTCTTAGGGCAAACCTGCCTCACATTCTACTCAAAGTCACCCCTCTGTTCACTGAGATAAATGTACATCAGATTGCCTCCTTTGGAGAGGCTAACCAGAAGCTCAAAAAATGCAACCATTTATTTCTTATCTACCTATGACCTGGAAGCCCCTCCCCGACATCTGCTTCAAGCTGTCCTGCCTTTCCAAACCTAACCAATGTTCATCTTTTCATGTTACATATGTTGATTGATGTTTCATGTCTCTCTAAAATGTATAAAACCAAGCTGTGCCCTGACCACCTCAGGCATATGTTGTTACAACCTCCTAAGGCTGTGTCACAGGTGTGTGTCCTCAATCTTACAAAACAAACTTTCTGCCTGGGTGCAGTGGCTCACGCCTGTAATCCCAAGACTCTGGGAGGCCGAGGCGGGAGCATCACTTGACATCAGAAGGTCAAGACCAGCCTGGCCAACATGGTGAAACCCCATCTCTACTAAAAATACAAAAATTAGCCGGGCATGGTGGTGTGCGCCTGTAGTCCCAGCTACTCTACTCGGGAGGCTGAGGCAGGAGAATCACTTGAACCTGGGAGGCAGATGCTGCAGTGAGCCGAGATTGTGCCACTGCACTCCAGCCTAGGTGACAGAGTGAGACTCTGTCTAAAAAAACATAAAAATAAAAATTAAAAAAAAATAAACTTTCTAAATTAACTGAGACCTGTCTCAGATATTCAGGTTCACAAATATATGGCCTGAAACCTGTCAAGTCTGCCAGTAAAGTTTGCAAATGAACTCATAATGATTTTCAGTTTTCTTTGATAGTGAAGTAATACTCAACAGTGTACAAAAAAATCTGTCCGTACCTAGACTCAAAGTAAAGTAAAAGCTAAGCAGCTTTAATTGCAAAAACAAACAAGAAACAAGTGATCAGCAACTATCAGGGCCCAGATCAACTTGTAAGCTTACTCTACTTTTCCTAAACATAATATGGTATTGAAGGAAAATAGTTTTAAAATCTTCAATTAAAAAGAAAAGTTTCACATATTAAAGATGTTGTTTTGAGAAGCGGTATTTCACTCCAGAAAGTGAGATTTATTATGATTATACAAAAAATAACATTTCCTGTCACTAGAGTGGATTTTCATGATTTTTCCAACTTTCTGAAAATACATATTGTTAGGGCCTAACCAGATGAATCCAGGGACTGGATCAGACCAGTTGAATTGCTAACATTCCACCCTGCCGCGTTAATCTGATAATTCCAATCCTTCATACAAGTGTTTTAAACCACATTTAAATTACTACCTGGGGGAGCATTTGTATCTGCTAATGACATAAACGGGATATGTTAGCTGAAATTCTAAAAGGCTTGCATAACTCAGATTGGCAAGTAGTTGACCAATCTGTTTGTTTTTAGACGTTAGGATCTTCTCCTTTTCTGCTTCCCCTCCTCTTCCTTTTTCTTCAAGGACTTCAAGGACAGGAACAAACTCATTCTATTTAGACCCTATCTAAAGTCTACCTTTAATGCTCACATAAGTTGAACAGTTCCCTCTTGGAAGGGTGTTATTTTTCACCATAGGGAGCTCTGAGTAGATTTTCTCCAAAGAAATAGAGGCTGAAGCAGAATATTCCAAAATATTTTGATGTGCGAGTTGCTGAAATTATGATTTAATTCTCCAAAATTATGAGAAAAATCAAGCATCAAACATAAAAAATAATGAAATAAACATTCTATTCATGTGCCTGCAGCCCAATTTCATCAAATATTGGCATTTTTGACACAACTTCTTAAAAATCTTTTTTAAATGAAGTATTTCAAATTCGAAGCCCACAGTGTACCCTTCCTCAGTTCACGTTCTTTCCGTCCCAGATTTAACCACTATTTTAAATTTGTACTTATTATATTCATAAATATTTTATACTTTCATCAATCAATATATTTATATAGAGATATATATTTAAAATATATTTTCTTCATTCATTAACAATGTATTATTTGTTATGTATGTTTCTTAAACATTCTGTTTTGCATATATAATTTTGGTCGATTTTTAAAAATTATATGCTCTATATGTTATTTTGATTTTTTTAAGCTTTATATTGTTTGATATGTATTTTCTCCTGCTGATGGAGATCTAAGTTGTTTCCATCTTTTTCCTGTTATAGTTAGGCCTTGTTTCTCTCAAGTTGAATGTAAACAATTTCATACAACATCAACATCAAACAAGGCCATCTGTGGCTGTGATAAATCAGGACATAAAGCAGGAGTACTATATAATCATGTTTGAAAATAGACAAAAATATGGACACTGTTTAACCAGCAAAAATTACCAATCACACCTCTATCCTGACTAATATGAGTGCTGCTTCTTTACCAATTATACCTTTTGACTCATTCTATATTTCCTTCCTTCTAGATAGTATTTAATAAAATACCCAATCATACAATTACTCCACTTCCAAACAGCATCCAATTCATAACAAAGTCAGCTATACTTTTAAAACCCTCACCCAAATCACTGAACATGAACCTAAATCCGTAACAAATCTCAGCTGAGATGCCTCACAGCTTACCATAGTGAGTGTTCTCCCTCAGCATAACAAGTAATCAACCCAACTTGTTCAACCAGAGTTGTGTTCCTGGTGGTCCTTGGCTGCAGAGCACCGACACTACTGAGACTGAACACCTTTTCACATGGACGTTGGGCAGAATAACCATCAGGACTGCAAGTTGATTTTGTCTCCAAGATAATCAGAGAAGGCTTATGCTCTCTATGGTTTCCTTTTCCTTCTTTTTTCCTGAATTGACAACTTGTGTCCTTTTTTCTTTTTTATTATTTATGTATTTATTTTAGAGACAGAGTATCCCAGGCTGGATTGCAGTGCTACAATCATGGCTTTCTGCAGCCTCCAACTCCCAGGCTCAAGTGATCCTCCTGCAGCAGCCTCCAAGTCCTTAATCAAATGATAGCTCTTTCTTTCTTCCCATACCTGCCCAAAACAGAGCTATTAGAAGCTCTATCAGAAAGAATGGATTCCCACTGCTTTATCCTTCAAAAAATTTAAATTTCATATCTGTTTTTCAGCTGAGATTTCTCATAGTCTCTGAGCCACTGATGTTCCTGAACTGTTGTGGCCTTATTTTCTTTAGTATACCATTACTACAATTTAATGGTATTGAAGAGGAAGGTATGTTAAACACATGTGCCCTGTCTGCCATCTTGAGCTCGCAATAAGAATAGAAGTAACTATGAATTTTTGAGAATATTCCAAAGTTCCTTACATATATTGCTTGGCTGGTATTGAAATGTAGAGTTGATGTATAAATGAATACTCCAAACAAAGCAGATTAATGTATAAATGAATACTCCAAACAAAACAGACCCATTGACTATAACATAACTATAAATAAAGCAATGATCAAGAACTAGGTAGCATTTGCAGGAGCTTTTCTTGGCATCTCACTTGCCACTATATATTCTGCCACTTGCTTCCATTTGCTCATATCATTTTGAAATCACTTCTCCAGGGCAGTGTGATTTTGCTTTTCCAAATGAGGTGAAATGAAGAACAAAAAAATTTTCTAAAGCTATATTAATATAGTAATATATATATATTTTAAATGCTGAGCATTTCCTTTTATACAGTTAGCTTAATCTATCAACCTCTAGGCAAAGTATGGAAAACTAATTTTTAAAAACTTTTTTTAGTAATTATAAAAGCAGTTCATATTTATTAGAGAAAGTTAGGGAACACATTCAAGCACAATGAATGAAAGAAAAATAAATGCATATCCTATCATCAGAATGGGGAACTTCTTGAATGTCTGCTTGGCCTATGAGTTCTCAAAGTGCTTAATAATGGAACTAAGAAATGTGTCAACCGTTTCCTTCGTCTGATCACACTACTCATTAGTTAGCAAGTTTTTTTCCTAAGATCATACAGAAAGGTGCCCTAATGAAGACTTTAGAATTACTTTTCCATTTTCTTAGAAAAGGCATAACT
This sequence comes from Homo sapiens, assembly GCF_000001405.40. NCBI lineage: Eukaryota > Metazoa > Chordata > Mammalia > Primates > Hominidae > Homo > Homo sapiens. Next base: position 43,315,902 of record NC_000012.12, read on the forward strand.
TTGGCTCAAATTTGTCAAATTGTAATTTTTTTCATACATACTATTTGTTTTTTTATTTTTTCAAAATAAGAATTCTTCAGCCATTCTGTACTGACTTTAAAGTCAGCAATTCCAAACCTGGTTTGTCTGTATTTTTCTTCTTTTTGTTTGTTCAAGTAAGATTTGAAAAATGCATGTGGGTTTCAAAACTCCTGCTGTGCCAGCCATGATTTCCCATAAAAGGGGGAACATTTATTTGTGTATATGAAGTCCTAGACAGCAGTACTTGGTCAGACATGAGACAGATGTATGTGTGCACAGCTGTTTGTGTTTAAGAACAGAATACAGACATAAATAAGGTTAGATATTCTTGGTTTGCTGCTAGAATATTTTCATATAGCATATTCAAAGGAATATCTGTCATAACTCAAAACAAGGAGAAATTTATCAGAAACAGAGCACAGAGCCCTTCCCCACAGCCAGGATAAACAAAACCAATATGGGCCTATCAAGCTCTCGTCTTGTAAAATAAACTTTATTGTACAAAAGAAAACCACCTGATTTATTCTTAAAGATATTGTCAGATATTTTCCCAAAGTCAGTACTGTCTTCTATGAAATTAAAAGATAGAGGTAGATTTTTTCTGGCTTGTCTATTGCTGTCAGAATTGCAATTGTATTTAAAGCTAATAATGCTAGAAAATAATGTGGTGTGAAGAAATAAAGGTGCTGTCTTTGCAATTCAGCTTCTTTCCCTAGCTATGACACACTAGCAAACTGTTTCTCTTCTATGAAAAAAAAAACTTGTACTTAAGCAATACTGCCACTTTTCCAGTATATTTGAATGGCAAAATAATTCCTAGAAAGATTCTCTTCTCTGTGTGATACCAAAAGGCTCAGAATAAAAAATTACGAAGCTGAGGCCCAAGGTCAAAGAGATTTCTACAGAGAGTCTTAGAATTTGTTTTATGGCTATGAGGATGCAGAACTTTAAGAAGTAACTCAGGAAAGACTAACATGAAATATTGCTAATTCCTTTGTTTATTTATTATTACCCTATTGCATAAGCCCTGTCCAATTAGGAAAAGTTAATTATGCACTACTGGATAAAACCATTTATTTGTAAATCAAAATTCATTCTAATAATTTTTTAATGGAAGGTATAATTAATACTCATCTTCACACTGTATCTGTCAGGATTTTCACATCTCAACCCCTCCTTTCTCTCTCCTTAGGTCTTCAAGAAAACTCCTTTAAGAATTTAGAGCAGGTCTTCAGGGTAACTGTACACTTTGTTTAGGAGATACTCTTGTTTTGATGAAAATCCTAAAACAACTCCTTTAAAGGGTTTGTTTAAAAGAATCCACGACATGGAGATATCCATAAGACTGAAATGCTGCACTTTATTTACATAAGTTTGGACTTTGAAGAAGCGTTTTGTTTTGTTTTGTTGTCAACCCAATAAATCATATTGAGAATCATGGGTGACTTACAGCGTTCAAGACCTGAAAAAGACAACTAAGAGTGGTCTGGCCTTTTCACCTCTACTCTGGTTACTTAGCCTTCATTAAAGTCATATGATGAAAACAGAGGATTAAAAATTAGAATTGCCTCTAGAAATAAAGTATTCCACACTATGTCTAAAAGTAGGTAGACTGGCTAAGATTTTATAGGTCTCCCAAAATTGTAAAACCATTTTGATACATGTATGTAGCATTTCTTTAGTATATTTTTAGAATTACATATTTTTCATAATTATGCATGCGGTGAAATCTAATAGGAAAACAATGGAAAAAATTATGGGAACAAAGAAAAGTGCTTTTTATTCCTCCCAAAAACTTGAAATTAATACATGAGGCAATGTTATAAAGAAGTTCATGCTGTAAAATAAAACATGTGTTTTGTTGCTACAGATATATGGTGGCATCATAGTTTAAAAGGGAGGAAGTAGCCTAAAGAATTATATTCAGTATTTTTCAGAGGAAGCATTTTAAATTAAATTATATTTGGAGTAAACTTTTTTAGATTGTCTATTTTCTGATCTGTATATTTTATCCTTACTCTTTTTACTCTGAGTATTATGTCAGGAATAAAGGCTGAAGACTGGTAGTAGAGAAAGAAAGTTAGCAAATTTGCAAATTAAAATGCTGGCACAAATCACAGGGAAAAAATTATGCAACATATGACAAAGCAAATGTTTTATCCTTACACCTGCTTAGTGCCATGCCTACTAGGATAACACCTACGACATAACAGGAATTCCGTGAGGGATGACAGGACCATATCTTCAGTCACTCTTGTATGGCCACATACTTGAACAATGTTAGTTTTGCAGAAGGAAGTGCCAATTCTGCCTACATGACAATAAGAACAATGTGTCATATACCACCTACTGGCAGTCTTTGTCTTTTTACTGAACCTAAATATATCTATGAGCATTGTATTGAACTGACGTCCTTGTTTAGCACATACAAATGATATCACGTTTTACATTTAGTTCTGCAATTCTTTTTCTGTCAAAATTAAATGGTTGAATTTTATAGGTGTTAATTTTGAGTTATCTCTATGTTTGTACTCAGAAGTTCGTAAATAATTTAGAACCTAAAGTATGCTATTTACAATGCTTATGGATTCTAGAAAGAATATACACATTGTAAATAAGGAAAAATCTTCTCCTGAATATTGTGTAAAACCACAAAGCTCTTCAAAAGTATGTCATGTTGCAAAATTGCCTAATTGAATTTCCAACTTGCCCATTTTTCCAGTAGACAAGTGATTATTTTCTCAAGAATGAATAAGTAGGTTGCCATATGAGACTTCATGGCATATGCGTTCTTTACCTGGTAAGATGTCTAGATTCAGAATAACTGGCAATATTTATCAACATTATTTAGAAAGAAGAGTTTTCTTCAACAAAATAATTGTTTTAAGCAAACAAGAAAAGAGAAGCGTAAAATATGCATACTCATTGATACCGTTGATATTTGAAATAAAAAAACACTGACAATTTTAATAACTGAAGAGCTTGGTCTGACACTCCTGCATAAATATAATGAACTTACCTCTATTTCTGAAAGGTAATGTCTGATATTACTATTTTAAAAAAATAGGGAACAAACTATTAGGTTAGTGCAAAAGCAATTGTGGTTTTTGCCATTACTTTTAGTGGCAAAAACCACAATTAGTTTTGCACCAGCCTGTTACTTAAATGTCCTAAGTCAGGGCCGGGCGTGGTGGCTCACACCTGTAATCCCAGCACTTTGGGAGGCCGAGGCAGGCAGATCACCTGAGGTCAGGAGTTCGAGACCAGCCTGACCAACATGGAGAAACACCGTCTCTACTAAAAATACAAAATTAGCAGGGCGTAGTGGCACAAGCCTGTAATCCCAGCTACTCAGGAAGCTGAGGCAGGAGAATTGCTTGAACCCGGGAGGTGGAGGTTGCGGTGAGCCGAGATCGTGCCAATGCGCTACAGCCTGGGCAACAAGAGCGAAATTCCTTCTCAAAAAATAATAAATAAATAAATAACATAAAAAATGTCCTAAGTCAGTTTTAAAACTTACAATCACAGAGAAAGCAAGTGAAAAAAAAAATCCATATATTCACATGCTTTGTTCCTAAATTCATGATACAATAAAGGTAAAGAACAAAACATGAGAAGGAAATGAGTGGACAGAAGGTGGGACATTGAATTAGCTACTTTATATGTTCCATTAATGCACTCGGTGAAAAAAATTAATATAATACATTGTCAATTTGTAAATGATATCGATATTTGTTAACCAGGCTTAGAAGCTCTTTTTGGAATGTGTCATATTAGCCATGACAATAACAAGAACAGCTACATATCATTAAGCTTTTAATATATGCCAGATGCAACATGTAGAAAGATTACATTATAAAATAAATATAGTAGAATTTTCCTGATAACCCAGTAAGGCAGATTTTTGTGGAGTTTTTGTTTGTTTGGTTTTTGTTGTTGTTGTTGCTACTGCTTCATCTCATGGTTTGGAAAATGGAAGTTTAGAGAGGTGAATAAAAATTTCCAAGGTTACCAACTAATAAGTGGCAGATCCAAACCCAGACCTTTTTGATTAAAATGGACAGTTGTCAAATTTAACAAATATAGATACAGGACATCCAGTTGTTCGAATTTCAGATGAACAACAAATAATTGTTCGGCATAAGTACGTCCCATGCAATCTTTGGAACACACATATACTAAACAATTATTTGTTGTTTACCTGAAATTCATATTTGTCTGAGTATCCTGTGTTTTGACTGGCAATCCAACTCTAAAGCTGATCAAGTTTCTTAACTCTCCGCTATTCTGACTCTGAAAAACCAGCAAGTCTGACCCAGGACGAAGCAGAAAACAGCCACCACATAGTTTGCTTTCTGGACAAGTAAAGATCAGTGATCACTGTCTAGCTGCCCTTTCAGCGTCATCCAATAGTTCAAACGTTCTCAATCTTAAGAGAGTATAAATATCACCAAGGGTGCTTCTTGAAAATGCAGATTCCCTGCCAGGGCCTTTGGCTAGGCCTAGATGTGTACATTTTTAACAAGAACCCCAGACGTTTCTATGTAGATGGTTCTTGGCCTATTCCCTGAGAAACGCTGGAACATCTGGCCTGCTGAAGAAAAATGTAATCCCATTTGAAAAAGTGCTAGACAAACTAAAAATCATTTTAGGGATTTATGTGGGCTACCAAATGAGGTCTGACCAAAATGATTAGAAATGCAGTCTGGAAAAATATAGGCTGAGAAAAGATCCAGTTGAACATTATATTGTCATGATCCAGAGATCAGAAATATTTTTTAAAGTGGGGTACCCAATTAAATCCAAGGCATATTTGACAGTCTACTACTGTTCTTCTGGACATTGGCCAAGGGAATTAAAGGCTGATTTCCTTGAAAATGCTAGATACATTAAATTTTAATATTTCCTTTTTTCCCTCGTAGGTTACTCATTTTCAATGCAAAGCCTACTCTCTACTAATCAGGCTGGTCATTTAGGGTATAGATGATTCAATCATTATGCCCTTCTTCTAAATTATGTTAGCCTACTGATCTTTAGAACCTTTGTGTAGACTAAGACATTAAAATCAGAATCAATTTGAGTAAATTAGTGTAACTAAACGCTTTTCACCTAAATGCTATATAAGAGTTCAAATCCTAAGAAATCTTATAATGATACAGCTCAGTTACTTTGTAATTTTACCTCACCACATTTTTTTACAGACAGGGTCTTGCTATGTTGCCCAGGCTGGTATCACACTCCTGAGCTCAATGGACTCTCCCACTCATGAGTAGCTGGGACTACAGGCTCATGCCACTACGCCCAACTCTTTATCTCTCCTTATTCTTTCTAATGTTACCTATAACCATTTTGGTATCTGGATTCTTAACTGTTACACTCTATTTCCTTACCTTATATGTCCACAGCATTTAAAAATCTGTTATTTCAGTAACAAGATGACTATTTAAAAAAAAATTCACATCAGCAACAATCCTACCATTCCTAATTTGCTGTTTTATGCCTCCTAGGAAGAACAGAAGGCCATCAGTAGATAATAACTGACCAAGCTTTTAAAAGTTATTGAATCATCTTCATTTTACATATTATACAAATGATTTTCCCAAAGTTTCTGTTTGTATGCTGAAATACCACATCAAATAGGTTTGGATCTGCAGTAAATATCAGAGCCATGCCTCAAGTAAATAGGCATAGTGAATCTTCAGAGGGATTATTAGGTAAGTGTATTAGTCTGTTCTCATGCTGCTAATAAAGACATACCCAAGACTGGGTAACTTATAAAGAAAAAGAGGTTTAATGGATTTACAGTTTCATATGGCTAGAGAGGCGTGACAATCATGGCAGAAAGCAAAGGAGAAGCAAAGGCATGTCTCGCATGGCAGCAGGCATGTCTCGCATGTGTGCAGGGGAACTGCCCTTTATAAAATCATCAGATCTCGTGAGGCTTATTCACTATCATGAGAACAGCATGGAAAAAACCTGCCCCCATGACTTAATTACCTCCCATTAGGTCCCTCCCAAGACACATGGGGATAATGGAAGCTACAATTCGAGATGAGATTTGGGTGGGGACACAGCCAAACCATATCAGTAAGAATTGTCATCCATGTTAGACCCTGAAAATCCTTTTCTGAGGAGCCTATCATGTGCTGAATTCCACTTGTGTCTTGCTCTCTCTCAATCTCTCTCTCTGTCTCTCTCTCTCTCTCACACACACACACGCACACACACACAAATCATACCACACAAAACTAGAACTATGTTATTTGTATTAACATGCTCTGGACTAAAGGTATGAGAGTGGCTCCTCATCTCTCTATGGAACTTAGAACAGAAGCATTGTGCAGCCGTTTCCTTCATCCATAAAACATTTTCTTACATGATATCTACTTTTGCTAGATGGCTGAGTGGTTGGGTAAATGGAATGGCACTATCTCTCCTTACTAAGAATTATATATTCCCACTAGTAGACAGCATGTACAATTTCACTTACCTAAAGAATTCTGGGTCTTTCGCCTTTCACATAAACTTTTACATTGGCTTATCAATTTTTTCAAAATGTCTATTAGTATTTAGAGTAGGATTACATCAAATATATAGATCAGTTTAGGAGAAGACTATTGTGTCAACAAAATTGAGTCTTCCAATTCATGAAGCTATCTTGTCATTAGTTTAAATTTTCTTTATTTCATACAGTTTGTTTTTCAATTCTAGAATTCCCATTTAGCTCTTTTATTACGGTTTCAATATCTCCACTGAATTTACCATTATTCCCTTGAGTTTTCATTCATTAAAAATATGGTTTTTGCTTATTTTTACTTTATTGAAGATATGGATAATATCACTTCAAAATTCTTGTCTGACAGTTCTCACACGCAATTCATCTTAGACTCAGTCTCAATGAATTTTCTCTTGAGAATGTGTTTCTTTTTGCCGGTTTTCTTTTTTTGTTTCATATTTTGGGTAATCTCGGATTGTATTCTTGACAATATGAATTTTAAGTTGTGGAGGTTCTGGATTCTGTTATTTTTCTTTGATGGATGTGGTTTATTTTGTTTTAGTCAGTAATTTTCCTGGCTGCATTTGAACTTCAAAACATTCTTGATTTTTTCAGTGGTATCCCGTGTCTCAGCTCAGCTCTTTTGCCTTTTGCTGGGCTGCTTTGAGTCTGTTTTATGCCTATCTGGTTCAAGAGACAGTGAAAAATACAGCCAGACAGAATTTGAGGATTCTTGTCTGGCCCTTACCCTTGTGAGATTCACCTGCTCTCTTTAATGGTTAGGGTTTTGTGTCTACATGCTTCTGGTTCCCCTTGCCAAAAAGACTGGCTTTTTGGTGTGTATTCCCCTAGTCTGCACCTAGTCCAGGTAAAAGCTGTAGAGAGGGAAACCTACTTAAGGAACTCCCCAAGTTCCCATCTCCAAGCAAACATGGATTCCCCACCAGATCTGCCTTCTTCTGTTCACCGTTTAGTACTTTCGCGCAATTGCTTTGTGTGCTGCTTCCAGGTTTTCTAATTATTTTCTGTAGAGTGACTTGTCCCATAGGGTCTTAGTCTATTATCCCATAACCTATTAAATAGTACTCTCTACCTAAGAAATTAGTCCGCCAAATTGCAAAGATAATATTGAATCTATGAATTAAACTCGGACTTATTGGAAATACTCTCTTTACCCCACTAGAGACAACTTCCTTAATTACTGGTGAGTCCAACATGGCTAGACTCTTTCAATTCAGCGTTGGTCACTCTTGAACATCTAGATTCTAGGAACTCTTTATCTATTACAGCACAGTCTTTCCTTCATCAGTATGGACATTAGCCTGTAACGTAAAATGGTAAAGCTGAAAGTGATAAACCCCTGGTCATTGTTTTCAAAAGATTTTAAAAAAAAGTAAAAGAGAAACTGGACAGTTTCGACTGAAATGAGATTTGGGAAGTTCCACAGGATTTGTTTTCCCATGCCTTTTTTGACTTCGGTCCCTGTTTTAGGTGTGACTGCTGATACAGCCTGCTCTTCAAACTGTCCTCTTGAAACTGATATTAATCTCTTTTTTTAAATTTAGTGGATTTACCAACTTACTAATTAAATATTTATTTTCTAAATGTTTACTTCTCCTTCCCAATTCTGTTTTTTTCTCTGGCACTTATCTTCATTTCCCATGATTTTTTCCCTTTTAATGTACCACCCACCAAGACTCTAGTTTACCAAATATTCTTAATGTAACTTTTTAATTGAGCCATTCTTGAATCCCTCTTTCATTCTCAAATCCCTGCAGATTCATGGCAGAGACAGGTCACAAAAGCTTCAATGTCTTTCCTTCTTTGACTTTCTTCATTTTCTTCTAACAGCAGACTTAGCATTCTTCTTGCAATACTGAAAATATTTGCTTAGGATTTTATCCTAATACCCCACCCAGTGAGACATTAGTGCTAATGAAACAGCAGGGAAATGTCACACAGAATTTTCTCCATTCTAAAACTTAATGACTAAAAAGAATCTTTATTTAATTAAATTTTTTATCTGTCTTATTTTCAGTCTTAAACAACACTGAATTTCTCAAGGCACTTATTTGCAAGTTTCCATTTCTTTTGTGTTAAGGACATCTCGAATTCTTGGCTAGATATCAGCAGAAAAGTCATTTTCCCTTGAATATGATGATATGGTTTGGATATTTATCCCCTCCAAATCTCATGTTGAAATGTGATCCCTGATGGTGGAAGTGGGGCCTGGTGGGAGGTGTTTAGTTCATGGGGATAGATCCCTCATAAATGGCTTGGTGACCTTCTCATGGTAATGAGTCCATTCTCACTGTGAGTTCACATGAGACCTGGTTGTTTAAAAGAGTATGTCACTTCCCTTCTGTCTCTTGCCCCCGCTCTCACCGAGTGACATCACCTGCTCTTTCTTTGCCTTCCACCATGATTGTAAGCATCTGGAGACCCTCATCAGAAGTAGATGCTGCAGCCATGCTTACACAGCCTACAGAATTGTGAGCCAATTAAACGTCTTTTCTTTATAAATTAGTCCATTTCAGGTATTTCTTTATAGCATTGGGAAAATGGACTGACATGTATGAGTAGTAAATGGAATTTGCCTCATAGACATACTCTAGATTTCCCAACAATTTCATAGTGAAGCAGGTCACTGAGCAGGGCCATCATCCAGGGATCTCTAAAAGCCCACGGACATTGACATCCAATCAGAGAGGTCAGGCAAGATACAAATAAACTGTCAGTAATGATTTTTTAAAAATATTCTTTTCCTGTATGTTGAAAGAAAGTAACTGCTGATCTATATGGATCTGACATAGTTTTGCAGTACTTACTCTGTGTCAAACACTGTTCATGCATATTAACCCAACTGCAATGGGTTCTATTCTCTTTCTGCTAAAGTTCAAGAACGTATATAAGATCATACACCTAGAGTGTGGCAGAGCTGGGGTTTGTGCCCTGGTATTTAGTTCTAGAGTTTGTCCCCTCACCCAACCCACAAACCTGCTATCTTAGTGTATGTCACTTATATCCTTAATAGAGGAGAGGACTCCAAGAAAGGACTCAAATCCAACAATAAATGGAGAATAGAGATGCCAGGATAAACGAAAATGCTCCAAAGACACTTGGAATCTACAGATAAAAACAAATGGTAATAAAGTGAATGGGAACACATCATGTATTCGACTGAATCATAGGAAATTGCCATTTTTGTATATCAAAAACGACTGAATATCAACAATTTCGATGGCTCAGTCTAATATTAAACCAGGATACTTAAAATAGATGCTCAAAGGGAAAACCTACTAGTAGGTTGGAATTAAAAGCATTAGCTGGTTTAGCGAGTTCTAGGAATTAGTGAGATGTGGTTGGGTGAGACGGTTGAAGTTACATATTCTTAAAGGTCTTTTCTGTCAATGTGGGAGAATGGGGAAGTAAAAATGTACTGAAAGTCTTAGTGAAGAAAGGCAGAGCTAGGAACAAGAACGCCTTGGTGTGGTGGGCAGTGTGTCAGTATCTTCTTTTTGTAGAATGGTGAAGAAATATGTGCTTGATTACAGCATCAGAAAAAGGAAGGTAGCTCCTGGGAAGCTGCTCTTCACTGCAGGCATGTAACCAGGGTCTGCAGAGCAGGCAGGTCAGGAAGGGGACTTCCCTTTTTGCGAATGGCAAATGAAATTTCTCACACCTGGTCAAAGCTTCTTTCTCTGTCGGAGGTATCATCCACAGTGGTAGAGAATCTAAATATGCACGTGTCTTTATGAGCTGCCTCTGGTAGAATACAACAATGCAAAAATATTGTGACCTAAAAAAACTGTCTGAATTTGTACTGTTGGGCAAAGTTGTAAACATTACTGACATTTCTTGAAGTCAACTTAATTGTACTTTCTAGCATTCTTGCTTCATTGCTTTTGACTAGACTGACATATACTCATAATTATAGTATTCTTAATAATTACATCTATGTCCAAATGTCTTTAAGAAACCAGAACACACAACTAAGACTACTTGAGAAAAAAGCTTTAAAATGATTATAATGTTCATGAAAATGAATAGTTAGAAGCAAGTTTTGGGTAAAATCTTAAGAGCCATGTTTGTTTCTGTCTTCCATTTCATTTCCCTTCTCTATTGAACAGGATGCTCTCTGAGCTAGCATATGTTCAATGCTTGTGTAGTATTTAGATTATCTTTGGAAAAGGTTGGAATTTCCTTTTTACTACATAGTTAGCATACTTAATGGGACACAGTAAACTTAGATACAACTCCAGTGTTATTGAAAAGGGAAATATAAACTTGAAAATTGTAGAAAACACTGTAATTTGAACACATTGTTTAATATGTCCATTTTAGCATGGTATACTAAATTTAGCAGAAAGGAGGAAATACACTAATAAGAAAGTTACTTGAACTGGAAATAATAGTATAACTTATGACCCTCTTGGAGAAGGCTTCAGTTGAATCTGTGACAGACTCAAAGTTGAGGATACTCAAAAAAGACAAAAAAATGCAAAGTATGCTAGAGAGAAGTCATACCAATTGATGACAGTCCAGTGACCAGTGCCCAATATCTACTGAAAATGGAAGAGGTTAGGAGAAGACAAATCATTCCAGTAATAACAAGCATCAAACACTTTGATATGTTTAATTGAGAGATTACATTCTCCTCCCTATAGCCTGGCTGAGAATTGACAGGTTATTTAAACTTTTAAGTTCAGGGGTACATGTGCAGGTTTGTTATACAGGTAAACTTGTGTCATGGGGGTTTGTTGTACACATCACTTAATCACCCAGGTATTAAGCCTAGTACCCATTAGTTATATTTCTTGATCCTCTCCTTCCTTTCACCCTCTGCCCTCCAATAGGCCTCAGTGTCTATTGTTTTCCTCTAAGTCTTCATGTGTTCTCCTCACTTAGCTCCCACTTGTAAGTGGGAACATGCAGTATTTGGTTTTCTGTTCTTGTGTTAGTTTGCTAAGGATGATGTCCTCCAGCTCCATTCATATTTCTGCAAAGGACATCTCATTCTTTTCATGGCTGCGTAGTATTCCATGGTATATATGCACCACATTTTCTTTATCCAGTCTACCACTGATGAGCATTTAATTTCATTCCATGTCTTTGTTACTGTGAATAGTGCTGCAATGAACATACATCTGCATGTGTCTTTATAATAGAATACTTTATATTTCTTGGGGTATATACCCAGTAATGGGATTTCTGGGTCAAATGGTATTTCTGTTTTTAGGTCTGAGGAATTTCCACACTGTCTTCCACAATGGTTGAACTAATTTCCACTCCCACCAACAATGTATAAGCATTCCTTTTTCTTTGCAACCTTGCCAGCATATGTTACTTTTTTTTACTTTTTAGTAATAACCATTCTGACTGGTGTGAAATGGTATCTCATTGTGGTTTTGATTTGCATTTATCTAATGATCAGTGATGTTGAGCTTTTTTTCATATGAGTTTTGGCCACAAATGTCTTCTTTTGAAAAGTGTCTGTCCATGTCTTTTGCCCACTTTTTAATGGAGTTACTTATTTTCTTCTCATAAATTTGTTTAAGTTGCTTATAGATGCTGGATATTAGACCTTTGTCAGATGCATGGTTTGCAAAAATTTGCTCACCTTCTTTAGATTGTCTGTTTACTCTGTTGATAGTTTCCTTTGGTGTGCCGGGGCTCTTTAATTGTATCCCGTTTGTCAATTTTTTGCTTTCATTGCAATTGGTTTTAGCATCTTTGTCATGAAATCATTGCCTGTTCCTATGTTCAGAATGGTATTGCCTAGTTTGTCTTACAGGGTTTTCACAGTTTTGGGTCTTTCATAAGTTTTTAATTCATCTTGAATTAAGTTTTGTATATGGTATAAGGAAGAGGTCCAGTTTCAAGCTTCTGCATATGGCTAGCCAGTTATCCCAGCACATTTATTAAATAGGGGAATCATTTCCCCATTGCTTGTTTTTGTCAGGTTTGTTAAAGGTGAGATAGCTGTAGTTGTATGGGCTTGTTTCTTGGTTTTCTATTATGTAACATTGGTCTATGTGTCTGTTTTTGTACCACTAACATGCTGTTTTGGTTACTGTAGCCCTGTAGTATAGTTTAAAGTAAGGTAGTGTGATGCCTCCAGCTGTGTTCTTTTTGCTTAAGATTGTCTTGGTTATTTGAGCTCTTTTTTGGTTCCATATGAATTTTAAAATGTTTTTTTCTAGTTCTGTAAAGAATGTCAATGGTAGGTTGATAGGAATATCATTCAGTCTGTAAATTTCTTTGGGCAGTATGACAACTTTAATAATATTGAGTCTTCCTATCCATGAGCATGGGATGGTTTTCCATTTGTTTGTGTCATCTCTGATTTCTTTTGTTTGTTTGTTTGTTTGTTTGTTTGAGATGGAGTCTTGCTCTGTCGCCCAGGCTAGAGTGCAGTGGCACGATCTCGGCTCACTGCAAGCTCCGCCTCCCGGGTTCAGGCCATTCTCTTGCCTCAGCCTTCTGAGTAGCTCTGATTTCTTTTAAGCAGTGGTTTTTAGTTCTCCCTGTAAAGAGCTTTCACCTCCCCAGTTAGCTATGATCCTGATTTGACTTTCAGCTTGACTGTTGTTGGTGTATAGGAATATTAATGATTTTTCCACATTGATTTTGAATCCTGAGACTTTGCTGAAGTTGTTTATTAGCTTAAGGAGCTTTTTGGCTGAGACTACAGGGTTTTCTAGATATAGAATCATGTCATCTGCAAACAGGGATGGTTTAGCTTCCTCTCTTCCTATTTGGATGTCCTTCATTTCTTTCTCTTGCCTGATTGCCCTGGCCAGGACTTCCAATACTTTGTTGAATAGGAGGGGTGAGAAAGGGCATCTTTGTCTTGTGTCACTTTTCAAGAAGACTGCTTCTAGCTTTTGTTCATTCAGTAGAATGTTGGCTGTGGGTTTGTCACAGATGGCTCTTTTTATTTTGAGGTATGTTTCTTGAAAACCTAGTTTATGGAGAGTCTTTAACATTAAGTGGTGTTAAATTTTATTGAAAATATTTTCTCCATCTCTTGAGATAATAATGTGGTTTTTGGCTTTAGTTCTGTTTATGTGATGAATCACATTGATTGATTTGCATGTGTTGAACCAACCATGTACCCCAGGGATGAAGCCTACTTGATCATAGTGGATAAACTTTCTGATGTGCTTCTGGATTTGGTTTGCCAGTATTTTGTTGAGGATTTTTACATTGATGTTCATCGAGGATATTGGCCTGAAGTTTCCTTTATGTTGTTGTTGTTCAGTCTCTGCCAAGTTTTGGTATCAGGATGATGCTGGTCTCATAGAATGAGTTGAGGAGGAGTTCCTCCTATTCAATTTCTTTGAATAGTTTCAGCAGGAATGGTACCAGATCTTCTTTGTACATCTGGTAGAATTCAGCTGTGAATCCATTTGGTCCTTGGCTTTTTTTGATTGGTAGGCTATTTATTACTGACTCCCAGGCACTGGAGGGGTAAGGAAAGCAAAACCCTCCCACGCAGAAAAGCACCAGCAAAGCAATGTGTGGGAGTTGTCGTGGGCCCTGGGGAAGCTGCAGTATGGGGAGGGGGCATGGAGGCTGTTGTTTGGCTGTAGGGGCTGCCATGCTGGAGCTCTCTGCTGATCAGGAACAGTCTGCCAGTGCAGAAGCTGTGGTGCTGGCCCCCTGGGCACCCAAGACTGCCCTGCCAGCAGGTGTGGCCATTCTGAGACCTGGGAGAAGCCATCAGACCAAAGGGTGCTCTAGTCGGACCAGCTTCATCTGATGGGCAGAATCGCCCTGCAGAGTTCAGGTCTGACAGTTCCGTTAGAACTAACATCTCCTATGGGAGCAAGTAAAGCCTAGGGAGATGGCTGTCCCTGGCTATGTTCTGCTATAGATGCTCCCACATCAAACCCTCTGGGCTCCACATCAGCTGGCGTGCTGACCCTATTACTTCTTTAAGCAGCTCTCCATGCCAATTTGAGTGTCCATGGTGGTCAAGGGGTCTCCTCCCACATGGGTTCTAGAGGCCCATGGTAAGAGCGGGTTACTTCTTGCCCGTTCAACTCACCTGTTCCCCTGGAGCCACTGGGGGCCGGGAACAAGTCCCAGCACACTATAGCCCATGCAGCGTTCCCAGCTTTCTCCCCCTTTAGCCCAGCTTCTATGTCTTCCCTTCATCCACTCTCAGTGCCTTCCCTCTAACGATCTGTCAGGAGCACGCTAGTCATCTCAGTCCCTCAGTGAGAGCTGTTCCACTGCATCTAATTGGACATCTTGCCACCAAATCGAGAAGTGACAAATATTATGAAAACAACCAACCAAAGAAGAAAATTGAAAAGGAAAAAATGGAAAAAGATAAGGCTTACTGAGATGAGACAGATTAAATTTTGGGTTCTAGAGTGTGTAGCAAGAGCAGACTTCAGACAACCTGAAGCCTGAGTCTGCTGAGGAGTGCTGTGGGCTTTTAGAAAATCTATCTTTGTTTTGTTGAATATCTCAGTAAACACTCTGGAATGTGTGGGAATTATTTATATCATTTGCTGCTGGTGAGTGGGCTGGTCTTCAAAACAGCCAAGGTGAGGGAGATGTGGATATAAAGCCCTTCATGAAAATGGCTGAAGGAGCATCTCACTTCCGGTGGCATCCTCACTCCTTGTTGGTGACATCCTTCACATTTTACATCCTCTGTCATTAAATAAACTCTGGACCCTCTTCTGCTGGGATATTTTCATCCAAAACACCATCACACCATTGTAACCAACATGATGAAGTTTAACTACTCGTAGAAAGAGATAGCAGAACTAACTTCTAAATTAGCAAGGGGAAAACTTTTTAAAATATAAAAGTCAAATATGTAGTTATAAAAAAAGGGCAGAAATAAATATATACTTGAAAAACTAGAAGTAGCCAAGATAAACTCCCCTCTTAAAAGACACAGACTGGAAGATTACATTTTTTTAAATCCACATATATATTTTAGGTGAATCATGCTAGAACTCTCATGATAAATAAATGAAAATAATGGAATGGCAAAAATAATATCAGGGAAGTTCTGCACAAAGCAGAGTTCAGCAAATATGCTGTGGGGAAAGCCCCAGTGAATTTGAATAGTACCAGTTTTCTAAGGTGTCACAGCAGACTCCCATACCAATCCAAGCACAGCTGATCTCTCCTTCTCCTGGCAGAGAATAAGGAAAAAAGAATAAGGAAAGAATAAGAATAAGGAAAAACAGATGGAGATCATTAGCTCACCTCAGAAAGGTTCTTCCTCTTTGGGATTTTAGTTATCCTGGTAATCCTTGCTTATATAAATGAATGAGTTGAGGAGGAGTCACTCATCTTCAATTTCTTTGAATAGTTTCACCAGGAATGGTACCAGCTCTTCTTTGTGCATCTGGTAGAATTCAGCTGTGAATCCATTTGGTCCTGGGCTTTTTTCAGCTGGTAGGCTTTGTGATGCCTTTAAAAATAGGCTTGACTTTTTTTTAATTTAGCTTTTCTAGGTCAAAGTAGAAGCGCTCATTTGCTATGACCTCCTACATCCTCCTTGAAGTGGAAATCCCAGTTATCTATTAATCTTTCTCATTTTATTTGTCTCCCTCTTCATCCATTCAGTTGCCAAGTCTCATTGACTGTTTCTGCCAAGTTGCTTGAATTCGGTTCTATCTTTTCTTATTCACAACCACCGCTTTGGTTAGTCATTTGATTATCTTCCTAGGATGACTACAGTGACATCTAATTCCCCATTTCTAGTTTCGGTCCTGTACAACCAATTCTCTAGACAGTTCTGTAAACTAATCATTGGTAAGTGCAGCTCCAATGATGTTGGTCTCCAGCTAAAATATTTCCATGGCTTTCTGACAAGGTGTAATGTCAAATTTTGTTCCCAATTTAATGTCAAATTTTTGTCCCATGTTATCTCTTGTTTTATGATTCACATTGCTTACGCTTCATCCAAACAAGTCTACTTAGTGCTCCCTTAACATATCCCATACATTGCCCCTATTTGTCCTTTGTTTGTGTTATTCTCTCTACTTGACAAATTGACAAGTATTTATTCATTTACTCCTAAATATCTGCTTACAGAATCCTACCCATGATTCAAGTCACTGTTTAAATGCTGCCTACATCTTCATTTATGCTTCAACGGGATCTCATGATTTTGTCTGATTCTAAATCTTTCTGGTATGTAGTTTTTACTTGTCTTTTGGCACTTACTAAAAATTCTGTCCTATCTTATATTGATTTGTCTATCTCCACTACTAAAGTGTAAAATTTTGAAGTCAGGGACCTATTTGTATGATCTGGTAAAATATACACCTATTAAACCATTTTGGGCAGCAAAGGAGAATAATATTTGTAAAGCAACAAAACAATGAACCACATAATCTGTCTAATTGTACACAGATATTTTCTGATGTGAGAACCTAGTCTCTCACTTTTCTGCTTTGTTTCTCAGCATATTTCTGCCATTCTAGGAGTAGAAGATATTCACATTGCCTCTAATAAATACTTGGAGCAAAGTAAACCTCTTGCTTGGCTGTCTGTTTTAGCTTTTTCACCTTCAAAGCCTTTATATAGAGATGATTTGGAGCAAGTACAAAATATTGCTCTAAGCAGCATATTGTCTTAGTTTATAATTGATCTTAAAGTTTAAATATTCAGTATTTGTCCACAAAGTGCTTTTAGCACCTCAGAAGAATAACATAATTCAAATACAAAGTGCCATTATGTTGTTATCTTCAGCTCTCAGTTTATGAGGCCATATTTATTACTCATGTGGTTGAATGCTTTACATTTCTACAAATCCTTCCCAGAGACAGTCCCACCCTAAATAAAATTGTTCAAAGTGAAGATTCTTAGTTTTAAAGTTAAAAATAAATAAATGATAAAACTGCATAAAATGATCCGTTAAGCCCCATTTGGAACCAAAGAGCATCAATGAGAAACTTTATAAGTGAAGCAGAGAAACATTTATTTGTGCATCAGCTAAACTCTGTTGCCTGCAAAGTATCAACTGTCATGTTCTGTAAAATGCTGTGAGTCATACAGATCCAGCAAGCACTTATCACTTCTTATCATCAGCCTATGTGGACTCCGAGCTTGGAGAAAACAAGCATAAGGGTCTAAAGCCTGAAATGATTAATAACATAGTTGAAAGAGATTATAAAAGGAGAATTCTTTCTTGTCATTGGATAATCTGTTATAAGCTATTTGGGCTGTATCTACATTTAATAAAATAACTACTTAATTCAGTAAACCTGGTTTAAAAATGTGCAAACTAATAAGTGTAAGTCATGTAAATATAGTGTAAATAAATATCATAAATATAGTGATTTGCATAATTTTAAACCAAATGTTCCCTGTCTGTGAACTGCAGGAACAAATTTAAAAGCCCCAGAGGGGGAGGAGTGTAACAGAGGAGTAAGAGTGTAACCCTAAAACCAGACCGCCTAGGGTCGGATTCCCAGCTCAACAATTAGCTATACAGCCTTGAGCAGGTTGATTATAATTGCTCAAGGTATACCATTAGCCTGTATACCACTAACCTTGATTGCAGTATCAGTTACTGAGTATATACATTTGTCAATACCCATTTAACTAAACACTTAAGATCTGTGCACTCTGTTTTATATAAGTCATTTGCAATAAAACAGAAAAAAATGTTTAAAAATAGCATTCCTATATGAAGAGAAAAAAATCACAATAGTTATCACGTATGTTTGTTACAGGGATTAAATAAGATAACACATGTAGCCCATTAGCATTGCTGCCAGTTTAGTATGATTTACAAAAAAAAGAAAAAAGAAAAAAAGATAACACATATAAAGTACCCTACAAATTATAATTATTTGAGTAAGGGACCAAAATTTTGCAAGGTAAATATTACTATCCTTTTTGTTTATTTGTTTTAAATTAATGAGGAGGCCTGGAGCGGTGGCTCATGCCTGTAATCCCAGCACTTCTGGAGACTGAAGTGGATGGATCACTTGAGCCCAGGAGGTCTAGGCTACAGTGAGTTGTATGGCGCCACTGCACTCCAACCTGGGTGACAAAGCAAGACCCTGTCTCAAAATAATAATAATAATAGGGCTGGGTGGGGTGGTTCATGCCTGTAATCTGAGAACTTAGGGAGACTGAGGCAGGTGGATCACTTGAGATCAGGAGTTCGAGACCAGCCTGGCCAACATGGTGAAACCCCGTCTCTACTAAAAATACAAAAATTAGCCAGGCGTGGTGGCGCACGCCTGTAATCCCAGCTATTCTGGAGGCTGAGGCAGAAAGAATTGCTTGAACCCGGGAGACGGAGGTTGCAGTGAGCTGAGATCGTGCCACTGCACTACATCCTGGGTGACAGAGTGAGACTCCATCTCAAAAATAAATAAATAAATAATAATTAATTAATGAGGAAGCATAGTCTTAAAAATTTATACAGTCATCCCTCAGTATCCATGGGAGATTCATTCCAGGACATCTGATGAATACTAAAATCAACAGATACTCAAGTCCTTGACATAAAATGGTGTAGTATTTGTATTCTCCCATATACTTAAAATCACCTCTAGATTCCTTATAATGTATAATACAATGTAAATGCTATGTGAATAGTTGTTATACTGTATTGCTTAGGTAATAATGATAAGAAAAGTCTCTACGTGCTTAGTACAGATGCAATTTCAAAAAAAAAAAAGTGTTTGATCTGCCATTGGTTGAATCCATGGATGTGAAGGGCCGATTGTACTAACTTACCAAAGATTTGAAGCTGAGTTTTAAATTCTGATCTGTTGAATGTCAAAGTTTTCTTCACTGTAATAGAAAATTACAATGTGGACCCTCTTTAGGAAGTTTGGCTGGATCGAATGAACGGTTTGGTATAAATCCTGTTCTTTTCTTGTAGTTTAACCATGGGAAAAGCACTCAAGTGATTCAAATGTTTTAGTAAAAATATTCTGAACACAGAAAATTCAAATTTGAAAGTTTACAATTGAAAATCTTAAACTGGATACAGCAAGGGAGGGATGAAAACATTATGGAAAATGAGAAATTCATTCTTGTTGTCTGTTAAATACTAAGGGAATATTTTGCTGTTTCAAATCTGTTTAGAACTGGTACTTTTCAGATGGACAGCCTAATAAATGGTGGTAGAAAACAGATAAACTTTGTGTATGACTTTTTGGAGAAATATACATCAACATGAAAAATACATAAACATAAAATTAGGTACAAGCTATGTTAGTTATATGGTTTGAATAAAAAGAAAATCATTATGAAATATACAGCTTGTCTGTATGAACCTATTTCCAAATGACACTTTGTAGGTTATGAAATGTTCACCTAAAATTACCATTTGTATATAAAAGACTTACAAAAAAGTTCCCAAATTTCTTCTAAATCACAGTTGAATTTAGTTCCACTTTTTAGCTCATCTCCATTTGCCATACAATGAAGGTGATCCTGAGAATTAAGTAGCACTTTAAATAATGTATTATCAGCTTTGATTCTATATTAATATCATAAACTCATTCATGTCTTAAGAGTCATTCTCTTTGATTTTTGAAATTCTGACATTTTAATGAAATTATGTAAAGGGTTTGACTATTCTTTTGGAAAATCTCATTTAAAATACATCAGTAGCAGCATCTTTATGTAAAAAAATCAATGTTTCTGTCATTTATTCATTAAAATAGTACTAGCTACATGTTCAGAAAGAAAAAAAAAACCTGTGCAAAGTGTGATTGGTATAGAAAGGCATCCTCAGAGAACTTTCAACTTAGCAAAGGGAAACAGAATTCATACTGAAATGACCATCATAGACATTAATATTTAAGGATGTCATTTAATACAAGGGCAGTAGGCTAAAAGTAAGAAAAATATTTCTGGAAAGGTAGCTTACTCTGAACATAGAAAGTTCAAACTGAAAGTTTGTAATTAAAAATCTTATATTTGATACAGTGCTAATACAGAAGATTTAACAGAGAGTGATTCAATGAGAAAAACTAAAATGAGCAGAGACACAAAAACACAAGAGCAGAGACCCAAAAATAGGAAAATAATGAGAAGATTAATACCAACTGGTATAACTACAAATTTTAGCTAGTAGAGAAATAGGAGATAAACATTAGAAAAGATGGTTGGTGGCAGATTGGAAAGGTCTGAAATGCCAGAATAAAAAATTTAGACTTTTATTCCCCAGGTTGTGAAATGCTGGCTTTATCTTTATTCTAAGCAGTGTTTTTCAAAGTATGGTCTTAGGAATCTTGGGGTCCTCAAATGAGTCTCATGAGGGGTTTTATGAGGTCAAAACTATTTTCCTAATACTATGACAGTAATAGCAGTTGTCACTCTCACTGCCCCAGAGTTTTCAGTGTAGTTTTCCAAGATGTGTGAAGTAATGTAACAATCCAGGTGTCTTCTCTTAAGCAAGACATTAAAGAGATTTACAAAAGCATAAACACTTGCCATTTTTCTCAATAATCATGTTTTTGTTTTTGGAAAATGTTTATTTTTCATAAAAATATATTATTTATATAAACATGTAATGGTGTATTATAGGTATTTGAAAATAAATTAATACATATTTTTAGAGGTTCTCAGTTTTTATTTCTCAACTAAATAAAAATATATAACCTACCTAAACAAAAGCTCTTTGAGGTCTTCATTATTTTTAAGAGTTTAAAGTGATTCTGAGACCAAAATATGTGAGAATCCTAACAGTAATCTGGTCTTGATATAGACTCAATCATGACCTCTAGTGGATATATCCAGCCATTTTGTAAACTTGGGGACATCAGATTCAGTCACCAAAATTAAAAGAAAAAAATCATTTGAAATCTCACTGTCATTTCTTCTTGAGAATTCGTTCATAATCTTCTACCATAGGTACCAAATCTAGTTTCAGGTACAGTGGCTAGAGCTAGGGTTTTCCAAGGTATCCCTGGATCACCTGCTTCAGAATCACCTGTGAGATAGGCTTACAAGGAAGATTCCTGGGCCTTTTCTAGAACTTTCAATCAGAGTTCCTTGTGATGCAGCCCATCTGCATTCCATCAAGAACCCCACAGTGTTCCTATCAACACTGACATTAAGATTCTTGTTTCAGTATATTTGTGCTGTATATTTGTGCTGTACTTAAGAGTTTACAAAGAATCACCAAAAAATGGTGGTTAAGACTTACATGGAGTCAAAGACTTTTGCTCACTTGTAATTTCAGTGCTCACAGACTTAGGTGCTTTTCCACTAGAAGATATATTGTTATCAGGCAGGCATTTAGAACCTAAAGTTGATGGGTCTGTCCAAAGATAAGAAGTACCTACATGTCCCTATTGAGACCTTAATTCATCAGAGAACCACTCTACCCTCATGAAGGAGGAAAGTATGAGTCAAACCTGCACTTCTAAGACTAACATGCAAAAGAATCACTAGAGACTGCAAAGCTTAAAATATTTACTATCTGGTGATTTACACAAAATTTGCCTACCTCTTGGTCTAGATCAATGCTTTCTAAGTTAACAAACAAATAAATCTTCTAGGGATCTTGTTAAAATGTAACTTCTGATTCAGTGGATCTGGGGCCAAGATTCTTATTTCTAATGAGCTCCCAGGAAATGCTGCTGAGCTGCTGGCCACCTGAGAGCAGGTTTGAAATGCAGAACCCCAGGCCTGAGGGCATGCCCACTGACTTGGCAGGTGCCTTTCACCAGGAAGCACAGGTAATCTTCATGCCAGTGAACGATTACACCGGAAACATTGGTGCAATCTACCAAAAAAAGAGCATGGTTTTTGACTTCTGACAAAGCTGCATTGGAATCCCACTCTTATTTGTTAGGTGTAAGAATGCAGCATACAATTCAAACTCTCCTAACATCCTCTTTTTCCTCTTTAAAGTGATGACAAAAATACTTTATCCACCCACATCTTAACCTTGTTGTGAAAGTGCAACGAGACAACGGAAACAATTGCTGAATAATAGCTAACACATACTGATGGCTAAACCACTGCTGTGAATAATTTACAAACAAAGAAATCAAGAAACTGACAAAGAAATAAGAGTAGTGGAACAACTTGTTTGAATTCAGGCAGAGAAGGGTAGAACTGGTATTCATTCTTGGCTCATATTATCTACTCCTGCCCTCTTAAAGGCCCCCCAGCCCTGTTCAAATGTCTGTGTTGATGACTTCTATCATGATTTGTGAACATATTCTGAGACACATCTCTATGCACAAATGAAAGAAACCTACAGTCTGGGCCAATAGGAAAAATGTTGCAAACCTCAGTACACACACCTGACCTTGCCAAAACATCAAAAAGCAATGAAGTAAATCTAAAGTTATCCTGATCAAAATCCTATGTTAGGACAATTTTGTTTAATGAAGATTAGGCTACAAAAAAAATCCAGCAATAGTCTACTTTTATGATGACTATATTACATGCTGGAGGAGATAGCAGTGTAAAAGCACCTCAATTATCTAGTTTCCTTGTCTTTAAAATCACCTTAGAGATTGCTCTCAGGGCAGTTTTGACACCAAAGCCTCCATCTGCTTATAATCTCCCTTGCCTTCTGAGAGCTATTTCAGTCCTTGCTATTTTGCTCAGCAGGAAGTCACCATCCCTGCTACTCACTTTCATTTTTCCTTCCTGCCCTTATTAGAGGTCACAGTCCTTGAAAGCTCTTTGGAAAAGCTTTATAAAAGGCAACAGCATCCTCTACTGACTGTGACTCATAATGTCAAAGGGGCACCAACTCCAGCATTTGAGCATGATTTGTGTTACTTCTGCTTTAGTACCCTTATCAGGGATTTTTTTATGTCCTTATTTTATGCTGATTTTCATATTAAAATGAAACATTGGTGTGTGAACTAATTTTAAGTAGTAAAATAAAATGGCTTTCAGCAGAATATTACACCAGGTGTTGTTTTGAAAAACATAATTCTTTGCACATGGCATGGCCTTTTTTCAGAACCTCCAGGGCTTGCATTGTGATTCTTTGCCTAAGTCTTGTCACAAATTCCACATGACATTTTTCTCACCATTGATACTTCCAGCACCATAGGGCCTGTCAGATCACATGGTCCAAGTGGCAGGGCTGCCTGGACCCCAACCTGAATGAGCTATAAGCCCTTTCCCATTCTAGACCCAATTCATAGAACTCACACACTGTCCCATAATTCAGTATAAGAGCCAACGCAGTGTTTTTAGTTGTAGAATATGTTGCCTCAGAACCCGAAGAAGTCTTCCAGCTATTTTGCTCTCTTTTTCATGGTAAGAGCTGTAAGATACGAAGGTTTGATTTTTATCAGGACAGGATGTCCCAGCAGAGCTCTGATCACTAAAATCCCTAAACTCATAGGTTTCTGTCAGGTTTCTGACATTTTTATGGGGTTTATCTCCCCTCCTCTGCAGTGGGTATGTTTTATTTAACAAGACCTCCATCATCCACTTCTTGCTCATCTAATCCAGTCTACATATAACCATCAATGTAATGGATCAATGTGATGATCAAAGATGACCACATGATCCATATTTCTTTGGAGTATGACTGTCACAGAAGATGAGAAAATTAATACAGTCTTGAGGTGAAGCATAATTGTAAATGTAACTTTTTGGGTCCAATCCATGTGATTATTAACTATTTCTAATCTTCTTTCCTTTTGGGGATAGAAAAGAACAAATTTGGTAAATCAGTGGCTGCAGACCATGTGTCTGAGGTCATATTAATCTGTTATAGCAAAGATACCACTTCTGCCACCAAGACTGTGTTGACAATTACTATTTGGTTGAGTTTGTGGTAGGCTATAGTCATCTTCTAGGATTCATCCAGTTTCTTCAGCATACAAACTGGTGAATTAAATGGAAATAAGATGGGAAACACTATCCCCGGAACCTGGATTCATTAGATCCTTAAGGGCACTAATCTCTGCCATCCTCCCTCAATATCACTACCTCCACAATGTGATAAGACTTCCAGACTGGGTGTGAGATTTGGAGACCTCCATCTTCCCTACTATGACAAATCTCACCCCACAGGCCAAGGACCCAATGTGAAATTGTACCAACTGCCATGTGTTTCAATCCCAGTTGTACCTTCAGATTAGAGGAATGATCACCAGGTGGACCTATGGATCTATGGACCTAGCGAACCCCATATAAATCAGAACATAGCCAGGATTCCATTTATTATCTGGACCCCATCCTAATGGTTATGATGACATTTCATGTCTCCAGATGTAAGTATTATCTCAGACACAGTATCTAATGGTCTCTGAAATGCATAGACGTTCCCATTTCCTTAGTGCACAATATCTGAGTAAATGTCCATAGATGTTTCAGAGGAAGGATTGGGAAAACTATTAGCATATAAATTCACTGGGGTTTGGCAGTCTTTCCTCCTGGGGACCAAGCCACTCCTCAGTCAATGGGTGTTGAGTCTGAAAATTGCCTCAAGTCCAAAAATTTGGCAAAGAATGACTGTGCTTGGCCTCTTTTGATGTCTTCTACTGGTAGACGCTGAGTAATGCCCTTGTTGACTCCCCTCATATTTTGACCCTTTAGATAACGTGTTCTGTTGACTATCTCCATAACTCTCAGCAGGGCAGGCCCCCTCAAATGCCACTTCTCCAGCTTCTGCCAGTACATGTTGGCTAGGTCTTGCAGCTCCTTTGGGAAATATCTCTTTTCCTTTGTTATAAAGCCCAGTAAGTCCCTAGCTGGGTCATGCTGTGACTTAATCCTACTTATAGGTCCAGTGTCCTAGTGCCCAGGAGGAGAGGGAAGGGCAGATCCAGAAAGAGGTACCTAAAACTTTGTGGAAGAGGGGCCTCTGCATCATCTTCCAGAATGCAGGGTGTACTGGTTCATACTAGGGAGAGGCTGGCCATTCCTGTAGGCTCAGAAAGTTCAGAAGTCTTTCAGTTCAAAACATCTGGAGGAATATCAGGCCAGATGATTCTCTTCATGTGTCCCAGGGTTTCCCAAACAGGTCCTATCCTTAGTTTGTCTTCTTTTTGCTTCCTTTTGTTGCTAACATTGATCTTACAAGCTGTGATCGTGTTTTGCTTTTATTTAAAATTACAAAATATACTGAGTCTTTCTCCAACCTACAAGTTGTTTGGAAGTTTTGTTTTTAATATCCAAATTAAATTTTCTGACACCATTACATTTTCACATTTTTTCTTGTAGTTCTGTCCATTTTTACTTTTTATATTTTGAAGCTATGAGTTTGGGTGCGTGGGTTCAGGATTGCCCTAAGTTTCTGATAAATATTTTCTCTGGTTGTGTCAGAGGCATTTGAACCAGAGTGACTCCATCTTGAATAGGGGCTGTGTAAAATAAGACTGAGACCTATTGGGCTGCATTCCCAGGAGGCTAGGCATTCTTAATTACAGGATGAGATAGGAAGTTGGCACAAGATACAGGTCACAAAGATCTTGCTTATAAAACAGGTCGTGGTAAAGAAGCCGGCCAAAACCCCCCAAAACCAAGAGGGCAATGAAAGTAACCTCTGGTCATCCTCACTCCTCATTATATGCTAATTATAATGCATTAGCATACTGAAAGACACTCCCATCAACAACATGACAGTTTACAAATGCCATGGCAACATCAGGAAGTTACCCTACATGGTCTAAAAAGGGGAGGAACCCTCAGTTCCAGGAATTGCGCACCCCTTTCCTAGAAAACTCATGAATAATCTACCCTTTGTTAAGCATATAATGAAAAAATAAAGTATTCTTACACAAGCAGCCCATGCTGCTGCTCTGCCTATGGAGTAGCCATTTTTTATTCCTTTACTTTCCTAATAAACTTGTTTTCACTTTACTCTATGGACTCACCCCAAATTGTTTCTTGGGCAAGGTCCAAGAACCCTCTCTTGGGGTCTGGATCAGGACACTTTTTCAGTAATAGTTGTTTGTAATAACTGTCTTTACCTTTTCCAATGCTTTAGGCTTAAAGAACATTTTGCAAATTTTAGTAATTCTACAAGGTTCATACTTACCTAAAATATCTCTTCCTCAACCCCTTATTTTTAACTTTTTCAATCACTACGTTTTATATGCATTTCTTTAAAGCACATAAGCTGGACTTGAAAAACGAAAACAAAACCAAAATTACTGATATATCTTGATTCAGTTTTACTGCCTATTTTGTGCTATTTTTTACCATGCTTTCTCTTTGCTTATTTTATTTTCCTCCATATCTCCTCCCTTGATGAAGTTTTGTTTATATTCTCTTTCTCCTATCCTTGTTTAGAAGTTAGAACTTTCAATAGTCACCCTTATAATTTTAAACATGCTTATTTAACTAAAGTCTGAATTTTATCTCTCTACTTTATTCCCAAAGAAAATGAGATCTTCAGAAAGCTTTAATTACAAATCACCCTCCTACCTCTTTCAAACTCGTTGTAGGTCAGCATTTTAATTTTTTAAAAAAGGACATTTTTATTGTTAGTTTTTGCAGTCAGGGCTTATTCAGATTTACACAAATGTTAACTAAATCTTTGCATTTACATTCTGAGATCCATGCCTTTACTACTGATGTAAAAATTTTAATGGTCAGTAAAGGGTCCATGAGTAGGTCATTGAGCAAGGGTCCATGAGTAGGAAACACAGTCTTTGTATGAAAATAACTTTATTCCACATTTATTGCTATTTTTCTGAGTATACAACATTAGAATGACTGTTCATTTCCCTCTGCACTTTGAGCTTGGCTATGCATATTGTGGTTGCTGCTGCTCTATCTTATCCAGCATCTCTGCAGTGAGGGGGAGGCCTATGTTACCCCAGCTCACAGAGTGGCTGTAACCAGAAGGTTTCTCTAAGAAAAGCCTTTGATTAGAGCCTCTTCAAGTTCGGATTTCCTTTCCTTTCAAACAAAAAAAATTCTAATTTTTAAAGCTGGCTTTGTCTACTCATGTGTTGAAGATATGAGCAGGGTTTATAAAATATTTTCCCACTACACAGCCCAAGTCTAAATGAACCAGATTAATTCTTCCTCTTTGTCCCATTGTACCCTGCACCAACTTGAATTATAGCACTGTCACAACCAAATTCACTTACTTTGCATATGCCTAGCTCCCACACTAGAATGTAAGCATGATGAGGGTTGAAAAGTTACGTACTTAGAATTGTATCCCTAGCTCTTCATAGGGTACGTATATAAACAGTGTTTCTTAAATGAGGCAATGGATAAACAAGTTATGTTTTCTTTCTTTTCTTTTTTTTTCATAGTTAGGGTCTCAATCTGTCTTCTATGCTGGAGTGCAGTGGCACAATCATGGCTCACTACAGCCTCAAACTCCCAGGCTCAAGCAATCCTCCTGCCTCAGCCTCCCAAGTAGGTGAGA
This sequence comes from Homo sapiens, assembly GCF_000001405.40. Lineage (NCBI taxonomy): Eukaryota > Metazoa > Chordata > Mammalia > Primates > Hominidae > Homo > Homo sapiens. The sequence continues at coordinate 43,343,744 of NC_000012.12, forward strand.
CTACAGGCATACTCCATCATGCTCTGATAATTTTAAAAAATTTTAGTAGAGATGGGGTCTCACTACGTTGCCTAGGCTGGTCCTGAACCCCTGAACTCATGTGAGCCTCCTGCTTTGGCCTCCCAAAGTGTTGGGATTATAGGTGTGAGCCACCGTGCCTAGCCAGTGATGTTTTCAACAGTGGGAAATCTTAGACCTACTTCTGAATTTCAGTGGCTGTACTAGTCCACTCTCATGCTGCTATAAAGAGTTGCCTGAGACTGGGTAATTTACAAAGGAAAGACATTTAATTGACTCACAGTTCTGCATAGCTGGGGAGGCCTCAGTAAACTTACAATCATGGTGGAAAGAAAAGCAAACACACCCTTCTTCACATGATGGCAGGAAGGAGAAGTACCAAGCAAAGAGGGAAAAATTCCTTATAAAACCTTCAGGTCTTGTGAGAACTCACTCACTATCACAGGAATAGCAGGATGGAGGTAACTGCCCCAATGATTCAATTACTTCCAACTGGATCCCTCCCACAACATGTGGAGATTATGGGAACTACAATTCAAGATGAGATTTGGGTAGGGACACAGCCAAACCATATCATTTCATCCCAGCCCCTCCCAAACCTCATGTCCTCACATTTTAAAAAACAATCATGCCTTCCCAACAGTCCTCCAACATCTTAATTCATTCTAGCATTAACCCAAAAGTCCAAATCCAAAGTCTAATCTGAGACAAGGCAAGTCCCTTCTGCCTATAAACCTGTAAAATCAAAAGCAAGTTAGTTACTTCCTAGATACAATAAGGGTACAGGCACTGGATAAATACACCTGTTCCAAATGGGAGAAATTGACCAGAACAAAGGGACTACAGGAACTCATGCAAGTCTGAAATCCAACAGAGCAATCAGTAAATCTTAAAGCTCCAAAATGACCTCTTTTGATTCCGTGTCTCACATCTAGATCATACTGATGCAAGAGGTAGGTTGCCAAGGCCTTGAGCAGCTCCACCCCCATGGCTTTGCAGGGTATAACCCCCCTCAAAGCTGCCTTCATGGGCTGGCATTGAGTGTCTGTGGCTTTTCCAGGTACATAGTGCAAGCTGTCAGTGGATTTACCATTCTGTGGTCCAGAGGATGGTGGCCCTCTTCTCACAGCTCCACTGGGCAGTGCCCCACTGGGGACTCTATGTGGGGGCTTCAACTCCCCATTTTCTTTCCACACTTCCCTAGCAAATGTTCTCCATGAGGGCTTCACCCCTGCAACAAACTTCTACCTGGACATCCAGGAGTTTCTATACATCCTTTGAAATCTAGGCTGAGGTTCCCAAACCTTAATTCTTGACTTCTATGTACCCCCAGGCTCAACACCACATGAAAGCTGCCAAGGCTTTGGGCTTGCACCCTCTGAAGACATGGCCTGAGCTGTATGTTGACCCCTTTTAGCTATGGCTGGGAAGCAGGGCACCAAGTCCCAAGACTACACAAAGCAGCAAGGCCCTGCTCCCAGCTAATGAAACCATTTTTTCCTCCTAGGCCTCTGGGCTTGTGATGGGAGGGGCTGCCATGGAGACCTCTGACATGCCCTGGAGACATTTTCCCCATTGTCTTGGCAATTAATATTTGATTCCTTGTTACTTAGGCAAATTTCTACAGCAGGTTTTAATTTCTCCTCAGAAAACGGGTTTTTCTTTTCTATCACATTTTCAGCCTGCAAATTTTCCAAACTTTTATGCTCTGCTTCCTTTTTAAACTTAAGTTTCAATTCCAAAGCATATCTTTGCAAATACATGTAACTGAATTCTTTTAACAGCACCCACATCACATCTTAAAAACTTTACTGCTTAGAAATTCCTTCTGACAGATACCCTAAATCATCTCTTCCAAGTTCAAAGCTCCACAGATATCTAGGGCAGGGGCAAAATGCCACCAGGCTCTTTGCTAAAACATAGCAAGAGTGACCTTCATTCCAGTTCCCAACAAGTTCATCATCTCCATCTGAGACCACCTCAGCCTGGACTTCACTGTCCATATCAGTTTCAGCATTTTGGTCAAAGCATTCAACAAGATTCTAGGAAGTTCCAAACTTTTCCACTTCTTTCTATATTCTTCTGAGCCCTTCAAACTGTTCCAACTTCTGCCTGTTACCCAGTGCTAAAGTCACTCCCACAGTTTTGGGTATCTTTACAGCAGTGCCCCACTCAGTACCAATTTACTGTCTTAGTCCATTCTCATGCTGCTATAAAGAACTGCCTGAGACTGGCTAATTTATAAAGGAAAGAGGTTCAATTGACCACATGACTGGGGAGGCCTCAAGAAACTTACAATCAAGGGGAATAAAACACATTCTTCTTCACATGATGGCAGGAAGGAGAAGTGCCAAGCAAAGGGGAAAAAGCCCCTTATAAAATCATTGGATTTATGAGGACTCACTCACTATCATGTGTACAGCAGCATGGGTGTAACCTCACTCATGATTCAATTACCTCCCAACAGGTTCCTTTCATGACACATGGGGATTATGGGAACTACAATTCAAGATGAGATTTGGGTGGGGACACAGCCAAACCATATTAGTGGTGGTTCAGATATTTCCCAGACTTCCTTACTAAGGCAAGTTGTCTATAATCTCAACTAGGTGAGTCATGTAGAATCTCAATAAGCTGGGGCTTTGCCATTAACGAGTACATCTTTATTTCAGTAAAGTCACTCATAAGCTTCTTCATAATAATAATAAAATCATTGTACCACTTTATGAGGAGCACTTATATTTGAATTTGATGTGCATTCTGAAAGGCATTTGCAGAACAGCTATCCTTGGAACAGACAAGACTAGAGGTAGGTATGTCTCACCAGAAATGTACAATCAGATATGTTTTTACTTTCAAACAAGACTTCATATGTTTTCACATTTGCTAAAACCTATTAGACCTTAGAGAAGCAGGGCTTTTATTTTGCATGGTTGTAAAATTCATGTCTTAATCCCCAAATTTTATTTACAAACATAGACTAAAAGATTCAAAGAAGCCATGTTAGCCTAGAAAAGAAAGTTAATAATTTTATGTGGGTTATGATTTGGCATATGGTTAGAATTAGAAAGTGACCTCTATCTCTACATTTTTGAGAGAACTGCCTCTGGCAACAATAAACACAGACTGATATTAAGTAGAGTTTGCATAGTGATCTTTTTTCTTTTCTTCCCTGTTCTTTGCTTCAGAAACTGATTCTGGTTAATTCAACACAAAATAAATTATTAAAGCATATCCAGTTGCTTTATATAGCATAAATATAAGCTATATATTATATATATCTGAATTATAAATAATATATATATCTACATTATAAATAATATATAGCATAAATATAAAGCAAATAGCAGGAAGAAAGGCCAAAATCACTCCCCTGGTTGGTGCATTGAAGATTTGCTGACATAGCAGCTGTGCATTGGACTCGTCAGCTTGCTCTACTGATGCATGATGCTGCCACAAGAGCTCCCGCTGCTGCCTCTGGGCCCTGAATCTAGGCATCACCAATGTGCCATCTGTCACTGGTGTGTACTGCACTGCTTCTACTTCTCGTAGTCACTAACTTCTGATGAAAATCAGTGATGGTGCATCCGACTGTTGGAGCTGAGGTCATATGGCTGGATCTTAGTTGCAAGGGAGGTCAGGAAAGCAAGTTGTCTGATATTTTCAGCCTCTACACTGGGAAACATGATCCACCTGATAAAGCGGGGCATGCATGAAACATAAGAAAAATGATGTAGATACTAAACACAAAATAAATGATGACTTTTCTCCAGGGAATTTCTCCAGCAAGATTTTAAACTATCTTTGCCCGAGATTCCATGCAACTTTCCTTTTCAGTTACTTTGTCTCACACCCCTCCCTAAATCCCAAGTCTGGGATTTGCCCCACCTATACCTCAATGACACAATACCTTTTTTTTTTTTTCTGGCTAGTCCTAATTAAAAACAAAACAAAAGCAAAACTCCAACACTTGCTACTTGAGAAGATACTAAAAACTACATACCAAACTAATTATATACTCTGTGATGACAGGGACTGTGTTAACTTGCTCAATTATTCTTAGCCTAGTGTCTTGGCTAGAGTTGTTTTCAATAAACACATGCTGAATGGCTTTGGGAAATTCATCTCTATCGAATTATGCCATTAGGCAAGGCTCTGGGAAAGTTGATTCCTCTTGGCTATCCAGACCTTGTTCAGAGAAAGCAGAGAGATATCCCTTCATGTGTCAAATTTGATATATTGGTGGCGGTTACCCAGGAAACTATACTAAGAGTTTTGAGGATATATCCAGATTGATTAGTAGTAGGAAATGTCTGGAATGATTAATGCCTACTCTGGGTGCCACATAGGAGAGTACTGGCACGTTTCCTGGTATCTACCATCTCTGGTGTAAATACAGATACATCATTATTACATTTTAAAAATTTGGTTTAAAAAAAAAGCAAAAGAGGTTTTTTTTTAAAAAAAAATACTACTTTTATGAAATGATGGAAAGACAGAACCAAAAGTCAGAATACTAACTGATGGAATAGGTAAGTGTTGCCCTGTAAAGAGAGTCCTTGTGCTAATGTAACTGAAGTTGGCTACACTCTGGCTTGGTTGGCACCTTCACAGATACCTCATACTGAGATCATCTTTTTCAACCATCTGGGTTACACATTTGATGAAGCTGCTTAGAAAGCACTCGACGTTACCTTCCAAGATGGTTTTATGATAGGTCATGCCAAGGCATTCGTTATGTGATATGTTGAAACAGAAGAGAAACTGGGCAAGGGAAAAGAGCAGAGAATTAGGAGGAAGATCAGAGGAAAAAGGAGTCAGAAGGGGCAGAAATGGCAAGGTCTAAATGAAACCAATATTGCGAGATCTAATCCACACATTGGACTGTGGCTAATTCTTTCCAAGGTGAGGGGTGATTGCTAATTCAGAGCAGGTCAGGAGCACAGCAGTGGTGTTCAGTAGAGATGGATGGTGAGAGCATCAGATTTAAGTCAGATGGTCCAAGATGATCTATACTGCAAATAATGTATGGAAAAGCAGAAAGCCTCCTCACTTTCCTTGGGACTTGTGTTTCCAAGAGGCAGCACTTCCTCTACTCCCCACTACATACACAAAATGTTTGTATGCCTTAGGATTAGTTTACAAAAGTATTGACCCCACAGGTCATCATGACAATAGTAATGATAGCTACCATTTATGAAAACTTATTATGTACCTGACTTAGTGCAATATTTTACATATTAATATCTGCAACAAAATGAGACAGGTACTATTAACATTCCCATGAAATTCAAAGAAATTAAGTGATTTTCCCAAGATCACAGGACATACATAAGCAGTAGAGCTGGAGTTTTGACCTCAGAACCAGTCTTCTACTAACTATAATGCTTTCAAAGCTGCTTTCTATATTTAAAATAAAGGGATTTTGCTAATTGGGCCATTTGTACTACTGAAAACATTTTTAGAAGAATAGCTCATTTAACTTCACAATTTTTATGCTAGGAAGGTAAGCAAGACATTTTTTCTTCTATTTGTTTTGCAATTGAGAATACTGAAGTTCAGATTGTATCAGTGTTTTGCTATGAGACCACACATACAAAAAGTGGCAGAGCACATCAAAAACTTGGGTTTTCTTAATTATAAAACACTGGGTATAAAACTGTGAAGGGAGTAAATCTTTGCTTTGACATATGTAAATTGAACAGTTTTCTGTATCACAAAAGTGAAGAGTAGATTGATAAGCTACCCCTGAACAGTTTTTTACTCATATTAAATACCAAGTAGCTTTACACATTTAACAAATAGTAACTGCTTACTAGTGCACCAGACACAATTTATACATATAAACTTTCACAGCTGAAAAGTACCTTAGAAGCATTTGTTTTGAATTTCTGATTTTATAGCTGAGGAAAAAAAAAACCCAAGTGGTGAACTTATTCAATGTTACCTTATTCATTACTGCTACACCCTGGTCCAGAAAGCCTCTGTTCACATTCCACATTTCCCCCCTTTACAGAATAAAAATTCCTGAACAAAATTATTACATGAAAAACTTCTTTATTTTCTCCTGGAGGTCAAGGAAGATTTTGTATTAAGAATGTTCTCAGATTGAAGTTGCAAAAAGAATGCATGTATGTATGAATGTAGGATATTAATATAGATGTCGATATTAATGTTAAATTGGGTTAAAGATGACTCAAAGATAGTTCACCTAATGCATTGCAATAGTTGTGCCTCAAGATTTCCAAGAAACTACGGAAGAAATTAGGTTGGCAATTTTTCTTGATTCTTCTGAGGAATCATTATGGCCAGCAGATGCCACTGTTGTCAGTTGTAAATATTCTTTCAAGTTTCAAATATGGAAAATTACTAGAAAAAGGGGTAAGTGAAAAGTAGCAAAAGTAATCCTGTTATCTTTTACAGATTGAGTGGTGCAAGTACTGTATAATTGAATCCTATTATTTACCTTTTAGCAAAATATTTAAGTAAACACTTAGCAAATAAAGACACTCTAAAATTATAAGAAAAAAATTAACAGGGGAAAGAATGAGTTCTCTATGTTTGAAAATCCTACTCATTTTTAAAAATTAGAAGTCCATACGATGGTCAATGTTGGCTGATAGCTACATTTAGTAGCCAAGATATATTTTATCCTGATGAGTGACATTGAGGGAGAATAAAATAAATTAATTCTGTTCCTTCTTGTTATTATAGCATCATAAAACAGTTTTATATTTTTCAAATCTGTACTCAGTTGTGAACAAGTTGTTATTGCAAAATTTATTATATTACTATCTTCTATTTCCATCAATGTTTGTACATGATGTTAGGGTTTTCTTTGTCTGTTTGTTTGTTTGTTTAAAAGATGATCTGGTTCTGTTGCCCTGGCTGCAGTGCAGTGGCACTATCATAACTCACTGCAACCTTGACCTCCTGGGCTCAAGCAATCCTCCCACCTCAGTTTTCAGAGTAGGTGGGATTACAGATGCACACCACCATACCCAGCTAATATATAAAGGATAATTTATAGTATCTTATTTATTTTAAAACACACGTTTAAAGCAAGAATTTATATAAAATTGTATTTGAAGTTTATAACATTGAAGGTAGATTATGATAGGTTAGGGATCTATATTGGAATTCCTGGAGGAAACACTAAAAATAGAGAGAATTACCTGTTTTACAATTTTTTTAAATTGCAGTACTGACTATATTGATTACAATCTCTCAATAATCAATACTACAATTAGAAAAATCAATAAATACATAAAAAAGATTTAAACAATATGATAAACTAACTTGACATAATTATTGATTGGACGGGAAAATGAGATATTTTTGTTTTAATATAGAAGACAGGCAAACATGGTTTTTGAATGAAGAAAAGGAACCAGTGGTGAGAGAAAGGAAAGGGAGACAGAATAATCAATGGAAAGAAGTCCTAGAGAATTCAGAGTGGGAGAAATCAAAGGCAGAGGTTGAGTGATTGTCCTTAGACATGAGCAGGGTAATTGTTTCTCCATCAGGGCATGAACAAAAAAAGATAAAATAGATGCAGGGAGCATGTCATCTTAAATGTTAAACAAGTAAATCGTTGTAAGTTGTGTATTAATATTTGCAACTAATTTAAGGTACAATACAAAAGCATGCTTTTTGGCAAGAGATTCTCAAATGTTTTAAATTGCATCCACATAAAGCTGCTTGGCTTTTATTCAGAAATATGACTTTTTTTTTCTTTCTCTTTTTTGGGGCAAGGGACATGGAGAGGAGACGTATAAGTGGCAGGAAGTTGAAAGAATTTATTTTCAATGGTTTTCTTTCTTGTGAAATAGAAAGTAATGCTATGTACTGAGAATTTGGGGTTAGAAAGGAGACAAAATATTTGAGCAAAACAGCAACACTTTGACATAGACACAGAAAAGTGACAAAGAAAGTGAATTTAAAATAACAGCCCCAAACTGTAAACTTATATTTTTTTGTTCCCACTCTGATGGTAACTGTTAAAAAGCCCTTTAACTTAAAAAAAATCCTAAACCAAAACTGACAAAGATAATAAAAAAGTTATTCTCAGAAAAAGAAGCCAAATGTAAAAAAGTATGAGAGATCCCCATCTACTCTGGTATTCAGATAAATATAAATTCAGACAATGAAATACCATGCTATGTCCCACCAGATTAGAAAACAAAACAAAACAGAAATTCAGGTGTCATTGAGAATGTGGATCAACTAAAATTTTTATTCTCTTCCAGTGGTAATTTAATTTATTTAACCACTTTGGAGGTACTTGGGCAAATTCTAGGGAGTTGAAGATGATATATCACAAGGACCTGCTTCTTGCCTTGGGAGAGATTGTTAAGTCCCCACCCATTTCCATAGATCTGGCCATCCTGCCCTGCAGTACATTTCCCTGCCCCACTGCGTAGGACTTGGTCATGTGATCTGGTTTGGTCACTTGAATCTGAGTAGACACCAGTAGTCCTTGTATATACAAGCTTTCAGAGGCATTGCAAGCTGTTGCCAGGTTTCCTGCCAGGTTTCCTCTGCCATGAGAAGGGCATAGATAGGAGCTGTGCTTCATCCTAACTGCACAAATTTGATTAAAAATTTCTTAGAATTGTCCAGGCACGGTGGCTTACGCCTGTAATCCCAGCACTTTGGGAGGCCGAGGTGGGTGGACTGCCTGAGATCAGGAGTTCAAGATCAGCCTGGCCAACACAGTGAAACCACGTCTCTACTAAAAATACAAAAAATTAGCTAGGTGTGGTGGCAGGCCCCTGTAATCCCCTCTACTAAGGAGGCTGAGGCAAGAGAATCGCTTGAACTCGGGAGGCAGAGGTTGCAGTGAACTGAGATCGTGCCATTGCATTCCAGCCTAGGCAACAAGAGTGAAACTCCGTCACAAAAAAAAAAAAAAAAATTAGAATTTCTGAAGTTTTAGAGTTATAGCTCTTTGCAGTGAAAGTTCTTTTTTTAACATGTAAAGACAATAAAAACAAAGTGCTAATGAATCATAAAAATATGTTTATTTAAATGTTTATCAATTGTAAGATTCTAAATATACATGAAAAGATTCCTGGAAAATGTCACACATTTTGTCTTAATGTTTGTAACTGGCTTAAGGCACATAATACAAAATATTTCTTTTGATACAGACATCTTCAAATGTTTAACCACATTGAAACAAAATTGTATTAGAGCTTTATATGGTACAATACATCTGTAATAAATGTTTGGGAGAAAAACACTTTGTGGGTAAAAAAAGTACACTAGTATTCACTGGCAAAAATCTATTAGTAGATTCCATTTGGTTTTTTTTGGTTTTCCGAGTAGATTTCCATAGAAAAATATATTTGTCTACATGTCTTTCAAAAGTATATTATTATATAATACATGGTTAAATTATCTGCATGAAAAAAACTCAATACCTGAGAATTTGCCAATTAATAGTTAATTTTTATACTCCCTTATGTTCTGGCTTTGAGAAACCTCTGATATAAAATAACTTAAACATCTCTAATAAAACTTTTACATATGCCAATATATTTTTATGTTTACCAAAATAAGATCTTCAAAATTAAAAGAATTCTCACATATTTAATTAATAGAATACAGTACATAACTTTGAGAAAATAGATTTTTAAAGAATATATATACACATACAAGAATTATAAAGGCAAAACAGAATATTAACATTATAAAAACAATGTATTGTTCTTATAAGTACAATCAAATTTGAGGTAGATTTTAAAAATTAAATTATATCATATCTTTATTATACCCACAAAATTTTTTATTTACTATTTAACCCAAACATACCTTTTTAATACACAATTTGTACCTCATTTTGAGGACTATTTTTTAATTGAAGCCCCATAATCCACAAGCAAAAATTAAAGAAAAAATAAAAGAAGGTATCTAAACTGTATGAGTACAAAGTACAATGGCTCTGTGCTTTTTTATGTAACTATTGATTTGCTATTTGTCGGAAAGATTCAATAATGTTTATAGTAATTTTGAATGTTTATTATCCTAATATTTACTTGCTTCATTTTAGCAAGTAGAATAAACATTTCATTGTACAGTACAAAACTGAGCAGAGATTTACATGTGTGTTTATAGGTATAAAATAAGTGTGGTCCAGGCCAAGATGTTAAGAGCAACACTGTCTTGGTATAATTCATTCAATCCTGGTATTCTCTATTATAAATTATTATGTTCTTTAAAAAATATCCTGATTAGATATAAAATAAATTAAGATAGCTCTTAAATTTCTTTTATAGACCTTATTAAGCAGTGATTTGAATCCCTGATGAGCACCCTGAAAAAAAGGCAGAGACATATTGGACATGGAAATCTCGGGAAGGGAGATATAAAGAAATGAGCACCAGTTATTTGAATATTCCAGAGAATATCCCCTCTTTAGGGCATACTTCCCCCTTCTAAATGTTCATATGACTTGAATTGGGAGACCAGTAGTCATGTGAGGAAGACACTTTCCACAGTACCCTCCACATTTGCCGAAAAATCTAGTTCCATCCTGAAAATCGGAAGAAGAAATACAGAAGAATCTTATACAAGCTGGTATCTGTATGCAAATAGCAGAAAAAGCAAATGCTTTGAATCATATGGCTAAAATCATTAGCAGAGGTTTCCTATAACAATTGCATTTGAGGTCAAAGATCATATGCCTTTTGATATTAGTTCAAATTGGTGGACATGGGAAAGTTAAAGGATATTAGATAACCTGAGATTCATATTAGCTAGTTGAATATTATATACAATTTAAATCTCAATTAAGATTTAAATCCAATCCACATATTTCAATCTCAATCCACATATTTTTCATCTAGGTATGTATTTGCTTCAGTGAGTTTATTAAAACCTCTCCCAATTTGCAATCCAGTATTTACATAATTTTATATAATAATCTCTTTAAATAAAAGAAAGATATTGTACAAATGATTTTAAAGGCATATAATTCATTTTCTATCCCATTTATTTCAAGCATCTCGTGGAGGCGTTAGAAACACACTCTGGAGAAAAGTATAGAAGGTGGTAAAATGGAGAAAATAAATAAATAAAAACTGGGCTGAAAGCAATCATTAGAATTAGAAAAGAACTAAAATGGGAGATTGTTCCATAAGCAGAGCAGTTCACTGAGGAACAGGTGGCAGAGGTAGGCTGAAGTGGGTTGGTCAGGACGTGATAGACGCCTCACGTCTTTAGGTCTAAAAGTCAAGACTGAAGACATTTCCAGAACATGAGACAAAAATAGGTTGAACTCCTATCATATCTGGAAAAGGTAATTTTTTTAAATCTAAGGGAGTAAAGATAGAGAAGAAAACTGTAGGTTCTTGGGACATTTTGAGATGGAAGAATGTTTTGAGACCGGAAGCTTTTGAAGTTACCTTCTCTTTCTAAAGCAATTTAACTCTGGAGAATCTGAGTACACAGAGAAGGGAATGGCAGTAAAATCTCAGAGTTGTATAATTCCCTATTCCCTCTGTTGAAGTAAAAACTCTATCTTCATTAAACTTATTGGCAAAGGAAAATATGTTTGCATTTCTGTAAGTATATCTGGATTTTACCAGTCAGTTTCACACCAGGCATCAGATTTCAAGAACTAGTTATGTGCAACATTTTTGATTGAGATAGAACTTCTCAACGAAATGAATAATGAATTAATCTTGAGAAGTTAATAAAAACACAAATCCTTCATTAAGCACAATTTTATCATCTTCAGAAATAGAATGTTTTAAAGGCTATGACTATCAGAATACTAAATTTCATTTATGAGAAATATTTATATAAATAGGAGTATAACTAAATTTACTTTTATCATAATAAATAAAAGTCATAAAACATTAGAGTATACCGGGGCTGTTGCTGGTGCTAATTTATGTGTGATATAGGTGAGAACACCTATAACCTAGATCCAGATTTACTATGAGCAGGGCTATGTTATCTAAGACACAATAACCATAAGTAATAGAAAGCATTTCATGAAGTGTACATGTTAGAACACCATACCTGCAGAAAATTAAGTGGATTCTACTTTGGATAATACAACATGTGCTATAGTTACAATAATTATAAGAATAAACTATAAAAATAGTTATAACTATATATATAAATACTACATAACAGTCTACATTTTCATAGATAAAATAACAATGTTATCTAGATAAAGATAGGAAAACATGAGTACAACATAAATACATAATCCTAATTCTTGAAAAAACTGTGAAGAATATTTGTTAAATGACAAGTGTCTCCAACACCACCCCCATCACTAAAACAGTGAGGGAAGAAAACAAAAAATTTAACCCTCATTTTGAAATATTAAAACCTGTAAACCTTCAGTAATTAAAGTATAGTAAAAAGCATACCTTTCTTGAACATCTGTATTTCAAGTCATTAGCTCCAAACTTGAGATAGACAAAATCTATATGTCCTGGCATTTGGCAATTTATGTTCAAATATCTATAGCCTATATATGGATTCATAAATATACAAAACCTCCACATGCACATTAATACAAATGAATCCTGTTTCATTTCATAAATTAATGTTGTGCTCCATTATATGTAATATACCCATTATATGCAATATCTCTTTAGTCATCAATTTCATATAAGTTTACATTTTAGGTAGAGAACCTTTAATGCTAGTTCATAGCTCAGAAGTATTTCAAACAGGCTTTTTGGTCCCGCAGGACTTACCTCTGATCTTCGTATGCTGACAGAGGTATAACTCCCCTGAGTGAGCCACTTTGCTGTGCTGGATATCTTCATCCCAGTTCCTGACAAATTAATGCTAAACTGTCCCTGGATTGTAAATAAAACAAAGAAAAATAGATGGAATTTACAAAATATTTGATTACAAATAAGTCTTCTCAATTGCAAGGGGCAACTGAATTAATACTATATAATGTTATTTGTGGAGAAGTAACTCTGCCCAACTCTAGGACTCTATGATTCGACAATTAGAACTAATGGTCCTGTAGAAATTAGCAAGTTCTGACAGAAATAGTGTTCACGGGGACCAACATTTGCTGCACTTTAACATTTCTACACGTTCCATTTTTGACCCTTCATTGCTAACTTCTATGCTGTTTCACCTATTTGACATATTTTCCAGAATCTCTGTTATTGCCCCATTCCTTTTGTGGTAAGAATATTACTTCTTAACTCACCACACAAAACTATCTAATATAATATTATTTTCCTGGCAATTACATCCATTTTAAACACCAGAAACAGCGTGCAGATGTGTGATGCCACATGATTTACACACATTATGGTGTGTGGGTCCCCTATGAGCTTCATGATCTAATTCTTTCCAAGTGCAGGACCATTTTTATGTCAAAATACTTCAGACTATCTTTGTTAACAGTTAAATTGTAAATATTAACTGAGAAAATGTGTTATTAAAATAGGTAACATTTGTGTCATATTTATATAATTTTACAGTACAGATTTAAACATTGAAAAGTAGAACTGCAAACAAGTTCAGTCTACTGACAATGTTCAGTAGGCATATAGATTCAGAACAATATTACGACATTCTTTAATTACCTCACAATATCTCAATGGCTTAAGACTCATGAATCTTGAGCAAGATTGTGATGAAACACTGGATTTTATATTATATGAATGAAAATATTATCTTGTCATAAAAGCAAAAGCTAAATAAACTCTGTATATATAATGTGAATTATTAATATTGCTAAAACAAATAGATATCAATTTAGTCATTAACTTGGATTTCTTAGCAATCTTATATTGTATATTTCTCATTTAAAAACAAATGAAGATCAAATATTCGCATAAAACAATGACAATAAATGGAGAATTTTCCATTGCAGAAATAATTAGTTTTAGATAAATTTCAAAGAAAATGTATCACATACAACATCACTTGGTTATGAAATTTAGAATATGAACTCTATGTCAGTTTCATTGCTATATTCCCAGAGCCCAGAACAGGGCCTAAGTTCTCAATAAGTGTTTTTGAATGGATGAATTAAGTGCAGCATTAAAAACATTAAATAGTAGTATTATAAAAGTAAATACACAAATACATATATAAAACTCTTCAGACTCTGATAATGAATGACACTAAAACCAGACAAAGTCGTATTTTATGTTCACAAATATTTGAATAAAAAGAATTGATTCTTAGGATATATTATTCTATTTGATACTTAATCAACCTGATACAGGTTTTGCACTGTATACCTCCAATCTCACATTCCTTCTCAGATAGGTTTTTCACCAAATAAAGTTATTAAAAAATGAAAATATATTCTACCATGTAAATTTCTTGTAACCAGATGCTCCTTGAGTGCTCAATTGGGCCATGCAACCTAATACTGTTGTTCCATTCTTCCATTTGCTCTCTACCTCCCTGATCAATGTGCCTTAAAAATATTCAAATGTATACACATTGGAAGTAAAAGGAATAAATCTGACTGACTACTGAGAGCCTTAGGTGGTCATTAACACAATTAGTTGAGTCTAGAACTATCGATTGTTCCATTTCTCTGTACTAATTTTCATGAGCTTTACTTCTGTTCTTAGTCCTCACTTAGAAAGCTAAATATGATCTCAAAAAAAATGGTAAAACAATTATCTAAAATTTGGTATGATGTTGACGGAGGTAAAAATACATCTCACTCATTTGTTCAAAATTAACTGACTGGCAGACATGGTGTCAAGTACCATGAAAGTTCAGACAGATCTCACTCTAAATCTGTTAAGTGAAATAGCATATGTACCTAAAAAAAGTAATTCGGACGGGCGCGGTGGCTCACGCCTGTAATCCCAGCACTTTGGGAGGCCGAGACGGGCGGATCACGAGGTCAGGAGATCGAGACCATCCTGGCTAACACGGTGAAACCCCGTCTCTACTAAAAATACAAAAATTAGCCAGGCATGGTGGCGCGCGCCTGTAGTCCCAGCTACACGGGAGGCTGAGGCAGGAGAATGGCGTGAACCCGGGAGGCGGAGCTTGCAGTGAGTCGAGATCGCGCCACTGCACTCCAGCCTGGGCGACAGAGCGAAACTCCGTCTCAAAAAAAAAAAAAAAAAAAAAGTAATTCAACAAGAGAACTATAAGTGCCATAAAAAGGTACTTATACATTCCTATAGGATTTTAGAAGTAATAAATAAGTGAGTGTGAATAAGTGTGTTAATTCCAATACTTCATTTAAGATTAAAATTTAAACCTCAAACCTAATCTTTAACTTAAAAATTAGTTCAACATACGAGGTCCTCTCTCTCTCTCACTGTCTCTCTCTCCATACATGCATATGTAGTATGAAATGTCAGGAGAGTAGATACGTAGTATGAAACTTACCTCTTCTTCTACTCTCCTGACATTTTGAAGAAGCAGCCACTAAACAAAGTAAAATTCCAGTAGCCAAATCACAAATGGAAGGTAAAATGATTCAAAAGACCTAGGAATTCAATAAATTGGAATGTTTATTCTTGAGTAACTGGCTGCATCAAAGAAAAAGGTAAGTATGGGTATAAGATAGAGGAGAAGCATATAGATAGATGCAAGTTTTAACGTTTCACTTCTTGGATTGACTGGTTGGTTCATGTGTGCTCATTAAATAATTATGTTTTACAGTTTTTAAATGTACTGTACACATTTTATTATGTATGTAATCTATAGATCTAATATAATACCAATACAAATTTTCCACCCAGAATCTTTGTACATACGGAGAGTTGATTCTAAAATTTATATAGAAAGGCTATGGATTTAAATAGTCGTAATAAGCTTACAAAAGAAGAATGAAGCTGGAGGACCCATGCTACTTTAACACTTATCGTAAAGCTATCCTAATCAAGACGTATGGTGTTGGTGAAGACAGAGACATGTAGATCAAAGGAAAAAAAAGACCCACATAAATATGGCCAATACTTTTGACAAAGGTAGAAAGGCAAATAAGTGGAGAAAACATTGTCTTTTCAACACATGGTGTTAGAACAGCTGTCTGTCTATATGTTTTTGACTCAGACAAAAAATCAAGTCTATAAATCCCTCAGACTTAATACAAAATTTAATTCAAAATAAATTGTAGGTCTAGGTATAAAGCATAAAACTATAAAAAGTTTTTGAAGAAAATTTCCAAAAGGAGAAAAATCTCAGTAATTTGAGTTTAATGATTTCTCAGAAATGACTCTAAATGTACAGTCCATAAAAGAAAAATTTGACTTTATTAAAATTGAAAACTGCTTTGTGAGAGATATTTAAAAGAAAGAAAAGACAAGGTTCGGACTAAAATGCCGTATCCAACAGAAGACCAGAACATATAAAAAAACTCAAAACTCAACCGTAAGGAAACAAACAACTCAATTTTTAAAATGAGTAAGACTTGAAAACACATATCACCGGCCGGGCACGGTGGCTCACGCCTGTAATCCCTGCACTTTGGGAGGCTGAGGTGGATGTATCACCTGAGGTCAGGAGTTCAAGACCAGCCTGGCCAACAGGGTGAAACCCTGTCTCCACTAAAAATACAAAAATTAGCCGGGCGTGGTGGCAGTCGCCTGTAATCCTAGCCACTCAGGAGGCTGAGGCAGGAGAATTTCTTGAACCTGGGAGGCAGAGGTTGCAGTGAGCTGAGATTGTGCTACTGCATACCAGCCTGGGCGACAGAGCACGACTCTGTCTCAAAAAAATAAATAAAAATAAATTTTAAAATAAGCATAAAAAGACAAAGGACATAAAAAGAGAGTAGGGGTAGCAATGTTGATAAAAGATAAAGGAGAATTTGAGTCCCCAATCATTAAACCATGACAAGGAAGTGCTAAAAGTAATAATCCATAAAGAAGACATAACACATAATAAATATTATGTATCAAATCATAGAGAACAACTTTTATGAAGCAAAAACTATGAGATATGCATGGAGACACAGACACAACCTAATAATAGGAAAAATCAACATACCACTTGCAGTAACAAGAGAGATCACATGAACAAAAGTAAGGACATGATCTAAACAATGTAATCGAAAGGGTAGATCTTATGGATATATATTAAACTCTACACCCTGATAATAATGAATACACATTCCAAATATCTAACAACTGACTCTTAACATTCAAACTGGATGCTGGCCAAGACCCACTGACATTAGCCGAATATGATTATTTCTCTTACTTTTATGTAATTACCAACCAGTTAAATAGATCCACATTACTTTTGTTTTTTAAAAGTTTTTGTGGCTTTGCAAAAAGTGCAAAACATTTACTTTACTTTACTTTCGACATATGCATTCTAAAGTCACACCACACTCCTTAACTTCATCTCATATTGCAATGTGGCGAAGTTTATTTTCCCTAAAGAGTGCCATATGTGTCCATACTCTTTTTTAGCATTCCTATCCCAGACTATCCTGTCACATGCAAACACAGAGGATTTGGGTTTGATGAATCCCAAACAACAGAATAAGTTCTTTCTGTGACGTCAAGCATCTGGAGAGTATTCATGCAAATGCTGTGTAACATAACACAGAATCTGGTTTATATATTACAGAACATCTCCAAAAATATTGGGCAGTTTGTATTTTTGGTAACAGTAGCCTCAAGGAGACAAATACAGGCTGAATATAGATGGGCACAGCTCCTTTTGACAGCATGTGTCTATGCCCAATAACAACCAATTTTGGAAATGGAGCTTTGCGTTTCAGAAATGCCTAGAAAACCATGCAAGAGAGACATCTCGCCCCAGTGGGCAGGAAGAGCATTTTATTGCCAGTTCTGCCTATGACTTTCTTCAGGATCTTGGACAGACTGTTAACACAGAATGTCTGTTTCTTCAGCTATAAACTGGGCAATCGCAGTTTATAGCTATATAACTTTTTCAAGATCTTATAGGGAAAAAAGAGGATTACAGAGACATTGGAGAAAGGGAGTTAGAAAGAAATGGAAATAGCTATCTTATGATTTAAAAACCTGATTGTGCAAATATCTCATTCAAATTCCATGTACATGAAGAAATATTTTATTTGTAATAATTGGACTTATGTTAAGGTATTTCCTATAAGAAAATTCATTAATAAAATAAAATAAAATTTTAATTCCATTTGACAGTTATATGATTTACTTGTATATGCGTCTCCTGTGATTTTCTTGATGTCTCATTGACCAGACCTTTCCCAATACAACATGTAATGACAAGGACCAGATTTCCAGAACTGGGTGACCTTTCCAAAGTAACAACATTTGTTAGGCCTTGTATTAGCAGACTAGGTTGCATTGTCAATTTACTTATCTCTAATTACATCAAATATATGACCAGAAGGCACAGCTTAAAAGGAGGATGGGTTGTTGGACAAAGTTGACCAGTCTTGAGATAGGTTAACCATTGTAGAATGTATAATCTCCATTTAAGAGAGTTGAAATGGATGTGTCACCAACAAAAGACATCCACATATCAAGGAAAAAACTGTTCAGAATGTTAAAAGTTTTAGATTACACATCCTTGACTTAAGAACACGTATAAAAAGAGACAGTGCAGAACTTCAGGAGAGGAGGGACTCAGCAGAGAAAGGACAGTCCTGGGAAGGCAACTGAATGGAAAGTAGTAGGTCAGAGTCACCATGTTGGAGGTAGGTACTCATCACCAATATGGGTGAAATAGGGAATTGGGAAGAAGAATGGAAATAAATAGGGCTAACCAGCCTCAAAGATTGAATGAGAACATAGGATTCCTCTGCAAAGTTGCCTGCCTTTAAAAATACAATCATGTGAGGAAACACTTCTAGAATGGTGATGTGAGGAGCCCATGGACACTCTCTCCAGTGAAACAAACATGACTGGTGAAAATGATAACTATAACCACCACTTAAAGTCTCTGAAATTTGTTCTATGGTTATACGGAAAAGGGAGAAACATTTATTCAAGAAAATCTTCTTCAAGAAGACATTTATTCAAGAAGAAAATCAAGAAGATTTTCTTCTTGATTTCACCACACCAACATGGCACATGCATACATATGTAACAAACCTGCACATTGTGCACATGTACCTTAAAGCTTAAAGTATAATTAGAAAAAAAAAAAAAAAGGTGAAAAGGGGCCAAGAGCCAGGGAATGCAGGCAACTTCTAGAAGCTGGAAAAGGCAAGAAAACAGATTATCTCCTAAAGCCTCCAGAAAGGAATGCAGCCCTGCTGACTGCTTGATTTTAGCCCAGTATGACCCATTTCGGATTTCTGACTTCCATAACTGTTAAATAATAAATTTGTGCTACCAAGAAAAAAAAAAGAATATCTATTAAATCTAGGTAAGAACAGTGAGAACCTGTGGCATCTGAACCATGACTCACCCTCTTTTCCTCCCACCTCCCATGACTCGCCCTCTTTTCCTCCCACCTCAGCAAGATGATCATTCTAATCATGGTGAATGCAGTTAAGGATACAGGACTCCATTTCCCCCTAGCTCCCTGTTAAGGCTATGGTTTCTCTTTGAGACAGGCAGGCCACCAGCATTTCTCATCCCACCCAAGTCTGTACTGCAGAAGTTGTATTATAGGCAAGAGTAGCTGAGAGTCTGAAGCTCCCTTCTTCCACCCAGTCCCTACTCACAGAGCAGTCAATCTATCCCAGGCATGGTAGATCAAGCACACTAGGCCTGAAATGTCCCCACAAAAAATCACTGGTAAGGCAGACACTCCATGCTGACAAGGTCAAAAGCCAAGAAGACCAGGGATTACTGCCATGACTCAGCACTCTATTTATTGAGCAGGGGTGTTACTCTGAGGAATGGGCCACTGTCCCTGTCCCCAGATCCACAGTATTGCAGAGCTTCTTCCCAGGGAGAGAATCAAGTTGTAAAAATAGGAAATTCACTAGCTTTTCCTATTGTGACTAGCTTATTTGGAATAAAACCTGGAGAAGTTCAAGTTTAGGTACTTTCTGGAAAAGAAGATTTTAGTGGTGTGTTGTTAAGAGGAGGGTAGTAGCTCAATGAAGGCAAATGGTAGATAAGATTGAAGTTTAACAGAGAGAATCAGGGAATGAGGCAGCTAAGAAAGGCTCTTCTTGGGGACTTTCCTGATCTCAAAAACAGACTATAAGACTAATTGAGGCCATGGGGCCTCTATTTAATTGGATCAGATTATGGAGTTATTTATGCCCCCAAAATATTGTTGAAAGAATAGGGAAATCATCTAGCAATTAGTGGAGACTAAGAGCTAAGCATGATATCAGTAGAGACAGACCACGCATAAACTCAACACAATTTCAGGGAAAGAGAACTGAAGAAAGCCCACCTAAGACTATTGTTATCCCTGAAGGAGAGGAGCATCACGGTCACTGTGCATGCCCAAGACTGTGCCCACTGAGGAGTAACATCAAAGGCTGCACACTACAAGGGAAATAGAATTCACTGAAACAGTTCAGCCAGGTAATTAAAAAAAATACACAAACAAAGAAGTAAACGATAACCATAACAAGAAGCCTCAAAAGGGAGGGTGAAATCAGTAATCACAGTTGCTAAAATACAGTACCTGAAATGTCCAGTTTTCAACAAAATTTATGAGGCATACAAAGCATGATGCATACACAGGAAAAAAGTCAAGAAAAACTTCCTTTGAGAGATATCAGATGTCAGACTAAGCTGACAAAAACTTCAAAGCAGCTAATATAAATATGTTCAAAGGACTAAAGAAACCATGTTTAAAAAAGTAAAAGGAGGTATGATAACTGTGTCTCATCAAATAGAGAATAACAATAAAGATGAAGATATCATATTTTACAAAGAGTCAAAGGAAAACTCTGAAGATGAAAAGTACAATAATCAAGATTAAAAAATTCACAAAGGGGCTGAAATTGTCTACTGGAGCTAGTAGAATTCGCAAACTTAAAGGGATGTTAATGATGCAATCTGAAGAACAGAGAGGAAAAAAGAAGAAGAAAAATGAATAGGGCCTCAGAGGAATGAACGCACACCATTAGGTGCACCAACATATGCATAAAAGAAGCATCAAAAGGACAGAAGAATTAAAAAGAGCAGAGAATATATTTGAAGAAATAATGACTGAAAATTTTCCAAAATCAGTGGTATATATTAAAATAATGACTGAAAACTTTCCAAAATCAGTGAAACTTATTAATTTACCCATCCAAGAAGCTTAGTGGACTCCAAGCCAAGTAGACACAAAGAGATGCACATCAAATATGACACAGTAAAGACATTGAAAGACAAATGCAAAGAGAAAATCCCCAAAAACACCAAGAGAAAAAGGACCACATCCATGGAACCCAATAAGATAAACAGCTGACATCTATTACCTACTTAGAAGTCAGACAGCAGTGTGATGACATATTCAAAGTGCTGAAAATAAAAAACTGTACATCAATAATTTTTAATAAGCAAACCTATCATTCAGAAAGGAAGGCAAAATAAAGACACTCCTAGATAAACAAAACTGAGAGGACTTCTTGCTAGCACATCTACTTTACAAGACATACTAAAGGAAGTTCTTCAGGCTGAAATCAAGTAACATCAGACATTAATACAAATCAACTTAAAAAATCAAGAGTGCTGATAAAGTTAATTATGTAGATAATTATAAAATACGCTATAATTGCATATCTCTTCACTTTTCTTATTTTAACTGATTTAAAAGCAATCGTATAAACCAAGGTGTATATAAGTATATTATTGACCTGTAATATATAGACATGTAATATATTTGACAATAATGGCACAAATAAGACAGATGGAAGCAAAGCTGTTTTAGAGTTAGGAAATGACACAAGACGATAAGTCAAATCCACAGGAAGAAATAAAGAGAACCAGAAATACTAAATGAGAAGGTTTACGTAACAAACTCTATGAATATACAATTGCTCTATCTTCTCTCATATTATCTAAAAGACATAAAATTATTTAAGTTAATATAATACCAATATGTTGCAAGTTTGTTGCCTTTATAAATGGTATATGTATAACAAACATAGCAGAAAAAGAGAAGAAATAGGTCATTTATAGTAGTACTGTCTTTATATTTCACTGGAAAGAGAGGAATGTTCAATAGTAAAATGTAAAGTACATTCTGATAAGATATATATTGTAAGCCTTTGAATAACCACTAACAAAGCAATTCAAAAATAATGAAAAAACTGAGGAAATTAAAATGTTACACCAGAAAACATTCACTGAATAAAAAGAAAGCAGTAAGGAGGAACAGTTGAACAAAGACAACATGAAACATATAGAAAACAAAAAGTAAAATGGCAGATGTAAATCCAGACATAGCGATAGTGATGTTAAAAAAATCCAATCAAAGGCAGTAATCCAACAAAATACTCTATAAGAGACATTCTTAAGAGCCAAAGATATAAATAAGTTGAAAGTAAAGGGATGAAAATATATATAGCAATTCTAACAGAGCTGGAGTGGCCACACTAGTATCAGATAAATTAGCCTTTAAAACAAAAACATTACTGTAGATAAAGAAGAATATTTTATAATAATAAAAAGGTCAATATGTTAGGAAGTTATGACAGTTATATATTCGTGTACAACAAAATCTCAAAATAAATGAAACAAAACAAAATACATAAAAGATTGAATTGAGAAACAGACAATTTAAAAATAATAGTTGCAGAGTTTCAGCAGATAGAACTAAGCAGAAGATCAACAAGAAAGAAAGAGTTGAACAACAATATAAACCAATAAGGTCTGTAGTCTATAGAACACTTCACCCAACAACAACAGAATGCACATTCTTCCCAAGAATGTATTGAATGTTTTCCAGGACAAACTATATGTTATGACATAAAATAAGCCTCAATAAATTTAGTGGATAAAATAACACAGAGCGTGTTTTCCAGTCACAATAAAGGTTGAAATCCAAAAAAAGAAAATTTGGGAAATTTACAAATATGCGGAAATTAAACTCCACACTCTTAAATAACCAATATACCAAAGACCTAACTATAGATAATAGAAAATAAAATAAATGAAAGGAAACACAACATACCAAATATTTTGGGATGCAACAAAAGAATCGATTAAAGGAAAATTTATGACTACAAATGCCTATATTAAAAAGGAAAAATAATCTCAAATCAATAATCTACCCTTCTACCTTAAAACACTGGAAAAAGAAGAGCAGAGGATTGTAAGGGAATACTATGAACAATGTGTGACAACCAATTAGTCAACTTAGATAAAACAAACAAATTCCTAGGGAGACATAACTACCAAAACAAATTCAAGAACAACAAAAATTTGAATACATCTATAATAAATAAAGAGAGTAAATTGGTAATTAAAACAACTTTCACGAAGAAAAGCCCAGGCTCAGATGGCTTTGCTGGTAAATTCTACCAAACATATAAAGAATAATTTTTTTGCAAACTCTTCCCAAACAGTACAAGAGGAAAAAACACGTCCCGCTACATTCTATAAGGCCACTATTTCTGTGATACCAAAATGAGACAGATATCACAAGAAAAAAAATGATACAACAATTTCTACTACAAATATGAATGAAATATTCTCAAAAAATAGTAGCAAACCAAATTTAGCAATATATGAAAATAATTACATCCCATGACTAAGTGGGATTTATCACAGGAACGCAAGGTTGTGTTTCAACATATAAAAATAAATCAGTGTGGTAACACTCTATCAATCCAGTAATGGACAAAAACCACAGGATCTTCTCCACAGAAAATCCAGCATCCTTTCATAATAACACTTAAGCTAGAAACAAAAGGCTGTGTCCTCAACCTGATCAAGGACATCTAGAAAATACTCCTAGCTGACATACTTAACATACACATGAAACTAACATACTTACTGCTGAAGGACTGAATGCCTTTTGCCTAATATTGGAAAACAAGGATGTTCACTCTTGCCACTTTTATTCAGTATTGTAATAGAAGATGTAGTCCGCACAATAAAACAAGATAAAGAAATTAAAGATATCTAGATTGAGGAGGAAGTAAAATTATCTTTATTCACAGATGACATCACTGTGTATAAAGAAAATCCTAAGTAATCTACTGTTACAACTAATAAATGAGTTCAGCAAAGTTGCAGAATTCAAGATCAATCCATACAAATATAGGCAAAAATTGATTATTTATTTGGGCCCCAGATTTGGGTTCTCCTTACCAACCACTCTACCTGTCAAAGCCTTCTTAATGTTGAGCTGGAACCTACTGCCCTATTAATGCCTCTGGAGGAACACAAGCAACCTCACTCCTCTTTCATGGTAGTTCTTTAAATATGTAAAGATCGTTACCATTGTCTCTCACTCTTTTCCTGGCTACCTTCTCCATTTTCCTTAGTTGACATGATTCAAACCCTTCTTTCTTTCCTGTGATCTCCTCCTACTCCTAAATAGATTGAAAATGATGTTTTACAGACAGAAATTTTAAAATAACTGTAATGTTCCAGTGTCAAATAAAAATAAATCCTTCAGTCTTGCTATTTTGTTTTGGAACCTTACGATTATATTAGGTTGTTTATAAATCACTCCCTGACCTAAAGGAGTCATACTGAACTCATGCTGGGCGAAGAAACACCTATGTCTTTTTCATGTAACATCACCACTTTCCGTTTGAGTTTCTGGACCTAAGTTAAGATGTATAGATTTATTCAGGTTCTTACTCATTTTAGCCTGTAGTTCTAGTGTCTCTTGATCTCCTTTAAGTTCTCTAACAGAAAATGTCCTCTCTTCCTAATATAAGCGTAACTTAGATGTCATATAATGAAAATTATAAATGGAATAGTCTAAGAAGAGACTATGACAAACTATTAACTACTTCTCTTCAAAATGATATCAATATAGTAATTACCACTTGTCTTAGGTAGTAGATTTGATTCATATATTCAATTAGCAATGAGTCACCTAAAAGTGCTATATTCATCTAGCTTACAATTCTTCATCTATCATAAAAATGTTCTTTTCATTATCTATGTAAAATCTCTAGTTAATAATGTGAGAGAATATTTTCTTCTAGGAAAACATGCTCTGTATTGGAAATCATGGAAA
The DNA here is from genome assembly GCF_000001405.40 of Homo sapiens. Lineage (NCBI taxonomy): Eukaryota > Metazoa > Chordata > Mammalia > Primates > Hominidae > Homo > Homo sapiens. The sequence goes on from NC_000012.12 coordinate 43,368,794, forward strand.
TGACATAAGAGCATGTGAAGAGAACTCTAGAAATAAAGGATAAAAGCGAGAATAAAAATATGAAAATGTATTCAATATACATTTTATTGATAACAGACTGTCATTTGGAGGACGTTACAGACCCAGGAAGCTAATAGAACTGATGTCAGCAGAAGTGTATGAAAGTCACATGCTTGTGATCCGTTCCTTTGCCTTTTGACAAATATCTATTCATTTCCATGGACTAAACGGAAAGATGAAGAAACTGATAACACATTATGGAAGAAGAAATAGAATCTGTTTAAAATTATTGTTATGCCTTTTAAACAAACCCAAAATTGGCAAAGATGCTTTTCCTCCAAAGGTTATCTATAACCTTTGAAACAAAGCGCATATGTGAAGTTTTGCATTTCTATTTACTTATGTTTCTTGCAATATTCTGGTTA